>NC_000012.12:110035885-110187400 GCF_000001405.40 Homo sapiens | reverse complement strand
TCCCAGCTACTCAGGAGGCTGAGGTGGGAGAATCACTTGAACCCAGGAGGTGGAGGCTGCAGTGAGCCAAGATCACATCACTGCACTCTAGCCTGGGTGACAGAGTGAGACTCTGTCTCAAAAAACAAAAACAAAAACAAAAACAACAGGAATAGATGCTCAAATAAATTTCAGACATGAACTTTAAAATAGCTGAGATTAATATATTCAAGAAAATAAACAAAAAGTTGAAGAATGTTACAAATAACTGCAATCTATAAAATTGAATCATATGGAAATTCTAAAACTGAGAAATACAATAACTGATATTAAGAATTCAACAAATGAATTAAATAACAGACTAGACACACAAAAAAGAAGAAGATTAATCAACTGGAAAAATAGCACAGTAGAAAAAAATACAGATTGAATCACAGAGAGGAAAAAAATAATAGAAAATGAAAAAAAGAAAAAGAAAAACACAAAGCCCATAAGAAATACATGGAAAGTGGTGAAAATGTCCAACATGCATGTAGTTGGAGTTAAAGTAAAAGAGGACAGAATGAGATTGTAGTAATAATTGAAGAAATACTGGGCTGGGCGTGGTGGCTCATGCCTGTAAGCCCAGCCTTGGGAGGCAAGGCAGGTGGATCGTTTGGACCCAGGAGTTCAAGACCAGCCTGGGCATCATGGCAAAACCCTGTGTCTAAAAAAACTACCAAAAATACACACACACACAAAATGGCTGAGCATGGTGGCTCGGGCCTGTGGTCCCAGCTGCTTAGGAGGCTGAGGTGGGAGAATCGCCTGAGCCCAGGAAGTAGAGGCTGCAATGAGCCGAGATCACACCACTGCACTCCAGCCTGGGCAACAGAGTGAGACCCTGTCTCAAAAAAACAAAACAAAAACAAACAAATAAAAAAAGAAAGAAAGAAAGGAAAGAAAGACATAATAAATAAATAAACATTGGCTGAGAACTTTTCAAAAATGAACAAAGACATAAAGCCACATATTCAAGAAGCTTTACAGACCTTAAGCCAGGTGAATAAAAAAGAAAATCACACCTAGAAAAGTCATAGTAAAACCACTGAACAACCAAACACAGATAGAAGATCTTACAAACCAGAGAATAACAGTCTACCTTAAAACAAACAAACAAACAAACAAACAAACAAACAAACAAGATGTACAGTTGATGTTATGAAATAAATAATGGAAGTCAGAAGACAATGGAATTAAATCTTTAAAGTGCCGAAAGAAAATAGCTGCCAACCAAAAATTCTACATTCAGTAAAAATGTGCTTCAAAATGAAGGTAAAATACAGGTGTCTTAAGAAAAACAAAAACTGAGAAGATTTAAGCAGACCTGAACTAAATAAAATACTTAAGGTGAGCTCATTAGACAGATACCAATAGAAGAACAATGATGAAGGAAGAAAAGAAGAACCATGAAAAGAGTAAACAGGTAGATAATCTAGAATAATATTGAACATAATATCATGTACGATTTAAATCTATCTAGGCCCCAGCACAGTGGCTCACACCTGTAATCCTAGCATTTTGGGAGGCTGAGGTAGGAGGATTGCCTGAGCCCCTGAGTTTGAGGCCAGCCTGGACAACATAGTGAGACCCCATGTCTGAAAAAAAAATACACATAAAAATTAGCTGGGTGTGGTAGTGCACGCCTGTAGTCCCAGGTACTTGGGAGAATCACTTGAGCCCAGGAGGTTGAGGCTGCAGTGAGCTCTGACTGTACCATTACATTCCAGCCTGGGCAACAGAACAAGACCCCTTCTCAAGAAAATTATATTTAGAATTAAAAAAATATTATCAACAATAGCACTAAATATGGGAAGGAGGTAAACAAAGTTAAAGTGTTTTAGGTTCTTGCATTGCCCAGGACACGGCAATAGTAAAAATTTAGTGAAGACTGGCTGGGTGCAGTGGCTCACACCTGTAATCCCAGCACTTTGGGAGGCCGAGGTGGGCAGATCACGAGGTCGGGAGATTGAGACCATCCTGGCTAACATGGTGAAACCCCGTCTCTACTAAAAAAAAAATACAAAAAAATAGTTGGGCATAGTGGCACACTCCTGTAGTCCCAGCTACTTGGGAGGCTGAGGCGGGAGAATCACTTGAACCTAGGGGGCGGAGGTTGCTGTGAGCTGAGATCGTGCCACTGCACTCCAGCTTGGGCAACAGAGAGAGACTCTGTCTCAAAAAAAAGAAAAAAAAATTTAGTGAAGACTGTAATCAGTCAAGGGTGTATATCATAATCTCTGGCATAAGCACTAGAGTGCAATCACTCACTGGCTAAATGGAACTAAGGACTCTATTACTGTGGCAGGTAGAGTACTGACAGTCCCAGGCATGTTGCAGCAGTGCAATTAATAAGACTTTCACTTGTGGTGAATTGGGGAAGAATACAGGTGGATGGGGATTGTGGTGGCCAACAAAATTTATGGCTCAGATTGCTTTCAAGAGAGTTGGCTGAGAGGAACAGAGCTGACTGATATCCATAGCTGCTGCCCCTCTGGGTCCATCATCATGTTTGCACCAACGCTATGCTTCCCTGGAGCTGCTCTTAGCCAATGACTGAGTACAGCAGTAGTACTAGTGTTGGCCCAGTCCTGCCTGACAAGGGACTCCTCTAATAGGTGACTGGCTCAGGAACTCTCCATCAGCCTGACCAAAACTTTCTCAGAGTTGTGTTGAAGTTTGAGGCTATTTCTACCCAATCTTCCTTTGCCCTTTCCTTTCACAGGTGTCAGACCTGTATCAGAGCCTGAAGGCTTTCCCTGCCTCCTCCTGCTCCCTTCCCTTTACCCTTCATAAGTATGTCCTTCAATAAATCTTTTGTACATGTAATCCCATCTCAGTGTCTGCTTCTTGGAGGATCTGAACTGATACAAAGATGCACTAGACGGTGTAATGTTTCTGGCATTTGAGGAGAAATAGTAACTATAAGGACTATGGAACTGGGGTGGCTATCACTAAACTCCACTGATGGTTGAAGAGATAAAATAACAGGCTCAAATCCATTAATTTGTAATTTATTTATTTATTTTTTTTGAGATGGAGTCTCGCTCTGTCACCCAGGCTGGAGTCCAGTGGCATGATCTCGGCTCACTGCAAGCTCTGCCTCCGGGGTTCACGCCATTCTCCTGCCTCAGCCTCCCGAGTGGCTGGGACTACAGGTGCCCGCCACCACGCCCGGATAATTTTTTGCATTTTTAGTAAATACAGGGTTTCACCGTGTTAGCCAAGATGGTCTCGATCTCCTGACCTCGTGATCCACCCGCCTCGGCCTCCCAAAGTGCTGGGATTACAGGCGTGAGCCACCATGCCTAGCCTAATTTGTAATTTAAAGCAAAGTGATCAAGTTAGAGAACCTCCTTAAGGGCTTTAAAGAAACTCTCATTTCCCCTGGCTAAAGTGCAGAGGGAGCTGAAAACCAGGCACAGGACTAATTTTAAGACTGGCAAAACTCCAGAGAAAGTTGAATTCTTAGTCTAGGCAAATATTCTATGCCAAAGTCAGGGCCCTGACAGAGAAGAAAAAGGGTGCTGAGTCTGGGATGGGGGTATCTGGATAGACCCACTTGAGAACCTTGAATCCCCAGATTATCCTGTATCCTCTGGGCAGTGGCAAATGGCTCAGCTTGTTGGTCAAGGCCCTGGAAGATGCAAGACAGCAAGGACAAGGAGGTCTAGGAAAGAGGCATGTGTTTGAACCTATGGGAGTAGGCACTAAGTATAATGATCTTTTCATTACATGGAAACCGGAAAATGTCCACTGCAGAAGATGCACTGAACAACCAAGTGGAAAGGATGATTTGGCCAGCAGATGTCAGCCAGCCTCTGACATTGGCCCACACAGTGCTTAAACAATGGACTCACAAACAGAATGGCTTTGTTGGTAGAGATGGAAGTTACGTATGAGCCAAATAGCATGGGCTCTCTCTCATCAATGCTCATCTAGCTGCTGCCAATATCAAACGTCTGACCTGCCAGCAACAGAGACCATTCCTGAGCTCTGGGTAAGGAATCATCCCTTGAGGAAACCAACCCCCTATTTTGTGGCAATTTAATAACATCGGACCCTTTCTGCCCTGAAAAAGGTGACATTTCATCCTTAATGGGACTGATCCATATTCTGAGTATAGGTTTGCCTTTCTTGCCCATTGTACTTCAGCCAGCACTACTATCCAAGGGCTAAGAGCATTCAGTCTACTGATGTGGAATCTCACATAATATCACCTCAAACCAAGGGACACACTTTACAGCAAAGGAAGTATGATAGCATTCGTATGACCATATAATTCAGTAATTTTACCACATACTACACTATCTGGAAAGCTGATGGCCTGACAGAATAGTGGAACAGTGTCTTAAACGTAAGGCCCCAGTTGGAACTGGATGGCCTATGAAAATGAGTTCTACCTTTAGGATGGGGTGTACACCTTAAACCGATGCCCATGATATGGTGCTATGTTCCCGATAGAAAGCATAGGTCTCAGAACCATGAGATGAAAGTATAGGTGTCACCACGAACCATGATCCCCAGTGATCCACTTTAGGGAATTATGCTTCCCTTCCAGACAACTGTAGGCTCTGTGGGTATAGATACTCTGGTTGCCAGAGATATTCTGATGGCATGCTTCCATCAGAAGGCACATTAAGAGGCCCTTGACACTTAATGTTCTGACTACCATCTGGTCACTTGAGCTTCTCATGTCAATAGATCAGCAGGCAAAGAAAGCAGGGTATCATAAGGCTATATAGATGCTGCTATATAACAGGGACAGAAAGAAATATATTTAGGACTCAGATGATCCATTAGGGCATATCTTGGTACTCCCATGCCCAGTTTTAACTGTAAATGGGGAAGTATAGCAGCCATGGCCTGGTAAGGGCATGATTACTAGAGTCTCACACTTCTCAAGGATGAGGAACTGGGTCATCCCACCAAGTAAGTCATCTAAACCAGAGGAGGTACTAGCTGAGGTGAGGGAACTCTAGAATGGATAGTAAAGGAAGGAGATGTTGAATATCAGTTATGTCCTTGGAACCAAATGTAGCAATGAGAGTTTCCATTTGTCCCACTAATCTTTCTCCTATAAGTTTTCCTAGAAATTGCGACCAACTAGAATCCTATAGAAGCTATAGCTGGGTGGAGTAAATTTAATGTGACAAACAAGTAGATCCTACTAGTGCAAGGGGTGAACTGTAGTAGATGTTGCTGGTGCCCCACTCAGACCTCATTTGCAAACTGTTATGAATGTTGACTGCTAAATAGCTCATAGTTACCCCTTTCTCCAGAGAGTGCCCTCAGCGAAATGGGAGGTGTCTCACCTAAGAGGTTACACTTGACCACAGCCAAATGACTGACTGCCATGGGGTACAAAAGGCCAGCCCCCTTGCATCAAGATGGAATCAACTCCAGTGCAATTTGTTCCAAAGTTGATCATGGGATCAGAATGAAGCCAGCTCCAGTTGAGACCATGTCCTTTTCTTGCTTGGCTTTTTTCTGCTGCCTCATCTGCTTCCCTCACTCCCCTCCTTCTGAAGGTACTCCCTCAATAAATCACTAGCACAAAGAATTCCCTTCTCGAGCTCTGCTTCTAGGGACCCAACTTAAGAAAAAAATATGAAGCAAAAACTGATGGAACTAAAAAAAGCAACAAAGCCATAATTATAGTTAGAGATTTTTAACACACTTCTCTCAGTAACTGATGGAACAGGCAGACAAAAAATCAACAGGGATATGGAAGATGTGAATATCATGGCTAACATACTGACTGAATTGACATATTTAGAATACTATTCCCAACAACTGCAGAATATACATTCTCTTCACTGCACATGAAACAATTACCAAAACAGACCGTATGCTGGGCCATAATGCAAGACTACAAATTTCACAGGACTGAAATCAGAGTGTGCTCTCTGGTCACAATGGAAATAACCTGGAAATTCATAATAGAAAGGTAACTAGAAAAATCCCCCAAATATTGGATTTTAAGCCATGACCAAAAGGTCAAAGAAATCACAATAGAAATTAGAAGATATTTTGAAGTAAACAATAATGCAGTTACTACTATCAGTTTTAAAGTTAGTGCTGTTAGAATCCATGTTGATTCACAGTAAATTTTCAGTCTTAAGTTCCCTAAAAGCAAATAATATTCATCAGCATGAGACAGTTCATATTGCCAGTTAAAAGGAAACACAACTGGTTGAAATTCCACTTACTTCTACCAGATTATTGCTAGCTGGTAAACCAGCACCCAGATGAAAGTTTCCTCGTTGGTGAAAGAAAAAAAAAAGCCAAATGAAGGAAACCCTGAGGAACTGGCATCCACAATGAGAACAACTTTGCTGTGGGACTACTTTGGGTTTAACTTTTTTCAGACAACCAAGGCACAAACACATAAGGAATAAGCCTGGAGGCAGACTTCCACACAGCACTTCCCTGGATATTTCTTTCCAAAGCTTCTTGGAAGTGGCTGCTTAGAAATTTCTGCCCAGCAGGCCATGATAAAAAAATATTTTACAGTCACTCTCTTGGTATGATAATTTTACTCATATTAACTAACTAACCAAAAGAAAAAACCTACTTGGAATTCAAGTTTTTCTATTAATAACCCCGAAGTCAGCACACACACAAAAGCCAGTGCTTACTGCTACATTAAAAATAAATGAATCAACTTATATGTCATGTCTGTAATTAATCAGAGAAAAGTAATACTTTTATCATTTTTCCAGTAAAAACAATGACTTCAGTATAAAGCTGTAACCCATAAACCTCCTGGCATTTGTATTTATAGTAGCCCAAGATAATACTGTATTACCAGTTGTTGTTGAATATTTTCATGACGTTGCTTAAGAAGTTCTTCAGTCCTCTGCAAAAGACCGAATTCAGCTTTAAGTTCAGCTATTATCTGATGCTTCTTTTTGAAAACTGTACTCTTGCTTCGAAGTTTATTGACATATCGTTTGAACTGTAAAAAAAACACAATATGTAATCTAATGAGTAGAAAAGTAGTAGCTAAATATCATACATCTGTATAAACTCAATATATTCACATTTTTTCTTCTCTACTTCCCAACATGTCACACGTATATAATAATTTCGTTTTATTAGAAAACTTTATATAATAATTATATATTATATAATAACTTAATAATTTAGTTTTATTATAAAACTTCCCAACCCCCATCTTCCTGTCTTCATCCCTAACCAGGTTAAACTCCTGTTACTTATTTGCAGGGCCTATTCAGTTATGTGTAATGTTTGCCATCATTTTAAACTTCAGTTCAGTATTTGTTTTCCCCACTATTCCTTAAGCTTGATGAGGGCAGGACCTGCAAGTATCTTGCTCTAAGCAACTCTACGTTGTATCCTCTGTGTCTGGCACAGTGCCTAATACATAACAGATAATAAATAGTACTTACCAAATGAATTCCTTTATTTATTTATTTGTTTGAGACCAAATCTCACTCTGTCACCCACAATGTTTAAATATTTTGTGTTTTTAATTTTTTGACCCATTATATGTACATATATTATATATATATATTATGTGTATATGTTTAATATATGTATACATATAAAATGTGTGTGTGTGTGTGTGTGTGTGTGTGTGTGTATATATATATATATATATATATATATATATATATATATATATATATATAATTTCGAGATAGGGTTTGCTCTGTTGCCCAGGCTGGAGTGCAGTGGTGTGATAACAGTTCATTGCAGCCTTAACCTCCTGGGATCAAGCAATTCTCCTGCCTCAGCCTCCAGAGTAGGAGGACCACAGGTGCAGAGCACCACGCCTGGCTAATTTTTGCATTTTTTGTAAAGATGGGGTTTCCCTATGTTGCCCAGGCTGGTTTTGAACTCCTCAGCTCAAGTGATTCACCCGCCTTGGCCTCCCAAAGTGCTGGGATTACAGGCATGAGTCACCGTGCCTGGCCTTAAAATATTCTAAATCCTTATATAAAAGCTATTCATTTTAGACTTTACAAATAAGGATTAGGAAAACAGAAAGACAACCTTATAAAAATAAAAAGGTCAAAAAAGAAGAAAAAGTAGGAGATTAATGACCACAATTCTGGTTGTGGTTTTATCATGGTATATCTCATGTACTGTACTATTTTGGTAGCAGTCCATTGGACTACTGGGACTAATATAGCCAACCGGAACCATCAACACTTGTAGCTACTATTTATCACTTAAGAAATGTACTGTGACTATATATTGCTATCAAGCATCTGAGACACTGGGATGGTACCCATCGAAATGTTAAAAAGCTAAGAATATCCCAAGTTAGTGAAGACTCATAGCTATCTAATTTATCTATTTACCTACCCATCATATCAAAGTTATAACTAATAATGGAAAAAAGTTACAACTCTAATGGAAAGACCCCATTATTAAGTAATACCAACTAGAGTTTGGAAGAGCAAACAAAGTAGCATAATATTTAAAGGAATTCAAGGCTGGATGTGGTGGCTCACGCCTATAATCCTAACACTTTGGGAGGCCAAGACAGTTAGATCACTTGAGGTTAGGAGTTCCAAACCAGCCTGGCCAACATGGTGAAACCCCATCTCTACTAAAAATACAAAAAATTAGCCGGGCGTAGTGGCATGTGCCTGTAGTCCCAGCTACTCAGGAGGCTGAGGCAGGAGAATTGCTTGAACCCGGGAGGCGGAGGTTGCAGTGAGCCGAGATCACGCCACTGCACTCCAGCCTGGGCGACAGAGTGAGACTCCATCTCAAAAAAAAAAAAGAATCTTAGCCTTTTTAATGTCCAGTGCTTCTTAAAGCTAATTTTGGGGGATAGTTAATAAATAATTTTATAAATAATAAAAGTAATGAACATATTGTTGAAATTTTGGAAAACAGAAAAAAGGAAAAGTTCACTCAAAGCCACTATCTCAACACAAGCTCTATTACCATATTGGTATTTTTCTTTCTTTCTTTTTTTTTTTTTTTTGAGATGGAGTCTTGCTCTTGTCTCTAAGGCTGGAGTGCAGCCGCACAATCTCCCCTCACTGCAACCTCCACCTCACAGGTTCAAGCAAATCTCCTGCCTCAGCCTCCCAAGTAGCTGGGATTACAGGTGCCTGCTACCATGCCAGGCTAATTTTTGTATTTTTAGTAGAGACGGGGTTTCACCATGTTGGCCAGGCTGGTCTTGAACTCCTGACGTCAGGTCATCTGCCCACCTTGGCCTCCCAAAGTGCTGGGATTACAGGCATGAGCAACTGTGCCCAGCCCACATTGATATTTTTCCTTCCAATTTTTTTTTTCTTTGAGACAGAGTCTCGCTCTGTCACCTAGGCTGGAGTACAGTGGCGCAATCTTGGCTCACTGCAGCCTCTGCCTCCAGGGTTCTAGCAATTTTCCTGCCTCGGCCTCCCGGGTAGCTGGGATTACAGGCACACGCCACCATGCCTGGCTAATTTTTGTATTTTTAGTAGAGATGGGGTTTCACCATGTTGGCCAGGCTGGTCTTGAACTCCTGACCTCAGGTGATCCGCCCACCTTGGCCTCCCAAAGTGCTAGGATTACAGGCATGAGCCACTGCGCCCGGCTTTTCCTTCCAATTTTGAAAGCAAATTCTAAGGTTAATAATTCTAAATTATAAAGTAGTGAAATAGAAAGTACACCATCTCTAAAATTTAATTTTTTTCTAAAATACTTGATTCCTGAGTATACAAAAATTCCTTTAAAATACTAAGATTAAAAATTCTTCACGTTAAAATAAACTTCCAATTCCTAGTTTAGACATCTTTTAAAATTTGACTTAAACTTTGAAAGAGCTGGTCAGGTGCGGTGGCTCATACCTGTAATCCTAGCACTTTGGGAGGCTGAGGTGGGGGGACTGCGTGAGCTCAGGAGTTTGAGACCAGCCTGGCCAGTATGGCCAAACTCCGTCCCTACTAAAAATACAAAAAATAAGCTGGGCGTGGTGGTGTGTGCCCGTAATCCCAGCTACTAGGGAGGCTGAGGCATGAGAATTGCTTGAACCTGGGAAGCAGAGGTTGCAGTGAGCCGAGATTGTGCCACTGCACTCCAGCCTGAGCGACAGAGCGAGATTCTGTCTCAAACAAAACAAAACAAAACAAAACAAAACAAAAAAACAAACTTTGAAAGAACTGAGGAACACACTGTGTTTTAGAAGAAGAAAGTTTAAAATATTTTTCTATCCATGATTAGGTTAGTTTTAATATTAAGGAATCCAGCCCTCACACCACAAATTTTCAATGACTGCGTTACAGAAACTTCTTTAAAAATTAAAAATTTAAGTCATACTAATGTACCTGAAGTCTAATAACTTGCAAATTTTCCTTTTAAAGAATAAATGTGTAAGCCTGACATAACCACAGATTCAGAATCCCTAGAGTAACTATATATGCTATTAAAAGTGTCCTGGGCAAAGTGCCCAAAATGAAATCAACCCTGTTCATCTGCTATCCTCTGTAATATAGAGGCCAATTTTCCCCTTCTCTATCTTGCTGTACTCCAGAACTATTTTTAAAAGCTGAAAGCTATAAATGTTTTTGATGAAAGAACAAACCTACAAATTACTGAGTGTGTTCTATGCTGATTGGTTATTATTTGATATTCATTATATATAATAACTAATGGAAGAGTAGTCTGGGTCAGATCAATCACAGTTACATACGATTAAGCAATAGGTGGCCATCAAAGCATTCTAAGGGCTCTACTATTCCAGAATTAATTAGAAAAAAGAAAACACATTATCAATGTTTTTTCTTCCATTGGTGGTTTCTTTTAATTATCATTTGGATTTTAGGTTATTTTTGGATCTTCAATGTCATACAAAAAACAAAACTGATGAACACATTGAAGCTAAATCTTCAGACTTATAAAACACAAGTACTCATTCCATTAGCGGCCAGAGCAATGGCCTGATCATTTGTGAAGCCTCTGGTAAACTCTGCTGTACACTCAGATGAGAATAAGAGTAAAAATTGCCCTCCTTTTCCCTTCCATTCCTGGTTTACAGGGGTCAAAATGGTAGCTGGAGAGGTAGGCAGTAAATAGAGAGCTGCATGGAGGTGCCAGTAAGGTTGCATAGAGGCATGGCGGGGTACAGGGTCCGGAGGTCAAAGATACTGGGAAATGAGGGGGCTTGGGAAGTTGTATCAGAAGTGTGGACCAGGAGGCTGGTGACTGGGGACACAGGGTAGTAGGGGGAGTTAATGGAGGTACAGGTCAACAGGCTGAATGGCCAAGGATATGCAATGATGGGATTAGGGGCTGAGGAAACACACAGAGACATAGGCTAGCAGGCCTGGCAGCTGAGGACACAGAGGGGTGAGTGAGGAGTCGTGGAAACATAGACACAGAGGGTGAAAATGTGGTTGGTGGGATGGGGACACAGGATTGGTGTGTAAAGAAGGAGGCTGGAGTAGTTGATAGATTATTTAAATTGAGCAAACAAGCAAGTTTATTGATTGAGCAAATAAATAAATGCAATATAGAAAAAGGGAGCCAAATTTCTCAATGCCAGAGAAGATACTGGGCAACAGAGACAGACTCTGTCTAAAAATAAATAAATAAATAAATAAAACAATGAGATACCATTTTCACACCTACCCAACTGGCAAAAATAAAAAATCTTTCAATACCAAGTGTTGGTGATGATGTGGAGGAAGTAGAGAGGGAGATATATAATTTAGAGCAATGGTCTGGAAAACAACTTGGCTTGTCTACTGAAGCAGACACTATACATATTCTATGGCTCACCAACTCCACTTTTACAAGTAGCAGGACTTTTCAAACTATCTGTTAAAGGACGAGTTTTTTAAAAAATTTCTAAACATATGTGCATCAGATACTTTTGTAAAATAACGAAAATACCGAGATCAAATGACTATAAGGGTTTCTAAATGTTTCCTCTCAATTTATATGGCTGCAGATTAGAAGAAACTAACAGTCTCTGGACTGAAACTAGTCTTCAGACCACACTTTGAGTAGCACTGCTCCAGAGCAGACCTTCCTAAATGGGGTATGCTCTGGTACATGCACGTGCCACAAATATTGTGAGTGTGCCAAAATATTAATCCACTCAGCCTTTGCAGTAGCTGGGCAAGATATTATAAAGAACTCTCAGCCAGTCACCTTTAGCTATAAAGGAAAAAAATAATTTTTAAAGGCATAGGAGGTAAGCAACAAATCCTTAGAACATTAAGGAAAAAGCTTCCCATAGTGTATCATAACAGGTAAACCAAATGAATTTGTCAGTAAAGTAAACTACAAAGCTTGCTACTGGGCAGGGAAGCCCATTATAGCAGCTATTACTAATCATTTGTACCCATATACATTTGTAATCTAAATTAGTCTTCTATGAAAGAGCAGCTATCATTTTAGATGCTGAGATCAAATAAGATTAATACTTTATGGTTTATGCTAGCAGGTGCTGAGAGAGTACTCAGTTGTGTGAAACTCTAATCTTTATCTCTGCGTGCATTTGGGTTTTGTAATGGACTAATGCTTTATAGTGCTAGCTTCTGGCTTCAGGACCAATTTTAAAGACTCGGCTCCCCTGTGATCAAAATGGAAATTGACAGATGTTCTTTTTCCTTTTGTGTATTTAGTATGTTTTACAACCTTTAAGAGTAATGATCAGAATCTGGGCTAGCTTTTGTAATGGATAGGCAGTTTATTTCTCTAAGAATGTAACCATTTATAAATGCTTTTCGCTTATCAGGAACTCAAAAGAATTATTGGATTCCAGGCATCATTCTAGATATTTATGTGAAACAAGAATTACTGCTCCTGCTGCAAATTTTCTCCCTCAATATCTGGCATGAAAATGATTTTCAAAGTAATTAGCTGTGAAGACTTGACAAGACTATCATATAATAAGCACTTTACATTGTTTAAGAAACACAAAGCCATTTTTTTTTTTTTTTTTTTTCTGAGACGGAGTCTTGCTCTTGTCTCCCAGGCTGGAATGCAATGGTGCAATCTCGGGTCACTGCAACCTCCGCCTCCCAGGTTCAAGCAATTCTCTGGCCTCAGCCTCCTAAGTAGCTGGGATTACAGGCACACCACCACACCCGGCTAATTTTTTTTTTTTTTTTTTTTTTTTTTTTTTGAGACGGAGTCTTGCTCTGTCGCCCAGGCTGGAGTGCAGTGGCGCGATCTTGGCTCACTGCAAGCCCCGCCTCCCGGGTTCACGCCATTCTCCTGCCTCAGCCTCCCGAGTAGCTGGGACTATAGGCGTCCGCCACCATGCCTGGCTAATTTTTTTGTATTTTTAGTAGAGATGGGGTTTCACTGTGTTAGCCAGGATGGTCTCGATCTCCTGACCTCATGATCCACCCGCCTCAGTCTCCCAAAGTGCTGGGATTACAGGCGTGAGCCACCGTGCCCGGCCTAATTTTTCTTTTTTTTTCTTTCTTTTTTTTTTTATTGATCATTCTTGGGTGTTTCTCACAGAGGGGGATTTGGCAGGGTCATAGGACAATAGTGGAGGGAAGGTCAGCAGATAAACAAGTGAACAAAGGTCTCTGGTTTTCCTAGGCAGAGGACCCTGAGGCCTTCCGCAGTGTTTGTGTCCCTGGGTACTTGAGATTAGGGAGTGGTGATGACTCTTAACCAGCATGCTGCCTTCAAGCATCTGTTTAACAAAGCACATCTTGCACTGCCCTTAATCCATTTAACCCTGAGTGGACACAGCACATGTTTCAGAGAGCACAGGGTTGGGGGATAAGGTCACAGATCAACAGGATCCCAAGGCAGAAGAATTTTTCTTAGTACAGAACAAAATGAAAAGTCTCCCATGTCTACTTCTTTCCACACAGACACGGCAACCATCCTATTTCTCAATCTTTTCCCCACCTTTCCCCGCTTTCTATTCCACAAAACCACCATTGTCATCATGGCCTGTTCTCAATGAGCTGTTGGGCACACCTCCCAGACGGGATGGTGGCCGGGCAGAGGGGCTCCTCACTTCCCAGTAGGGGCGGCCGGGCAGAGGCGCCCCTCACCTCCCGGACGAGGCGGCTGGCCGGGCGGGGGGCTGACCCCCCCACCTCCCTCCCGGACGGGGTGGCTGGCCGGGCAGAGAGGCTCCTCACTTCCCAGTAGGGGCGGCCGGGCAGAGGCGCCCCTCACCTCCCGGACGGGGCGGCTGGCCGGGTGGGGGGCTGAACCCCCACCTCCCTCCCGGACGGGGCGGCTGGCTGGGCGGGGGGCTGACCCCCCCACCTCCCTCCTGGACGGGGCGGCTGGCCGGGCGGGGGGCTGACCCCCCCACCTCCCTCCCGGATGGGGCGGCTGGTCGGGCAGAGGGGCTCCTCACTTCCCAGTAGGGGCAGCTGGGCAGAGGCGCCCCTCACCTCCTGGACGGGGCGGCTGGCCGGGTGGGGGGCTGACCCCCCCACCTCCCTCCTGGACAGGGCGGCTGGCCTGGCGGGGGCTGACCCCCACCTCCCTCCCGGACGGGGCGGCTGCCGGGCGGAGACGCTCCTCACTTTCCAGACTGGGCAGCCAGGCAGAGGGGCTCCTCACATCCCAGACGATGGGCGGCCAGGCAGAGACGCTCCTCACTTCCTAGACGGGGTGGCGGCCGGGCAGAGGCTGCACTCTGGGCACTTTGGGAGGCCAAGGCAGGCGGCTGGGGGGTGGAGGTTGTAGCGACACGAGATCACGCCACTGCACTCCAGCCTGGGCACCATTGAGCACTGAGTGAACCAGACACCATCTGCAATCCCGGCACCTCCGGAGGCCGAGGCTGGCGGATCACTCGCGGTTAGGAGCTGGAGACCAGCCCGGCCAACACAGCGAAACCCTGTCTCCACCAAAAAAATACGAAAACCAGTCAGGCGTGGCGGCGCGCGCCTGCAATTGCAGGCACTCGGCAGGCTGAGGCAGGAGAATCAGGCAGGGAGGTTGCAGTGAGCCGAGATGGCAGCAGTACAGTCCAGCTTCAGCTCGGCATCAGAGGGAGACCGTGGAAAGAGAGGGAGAGGGAGACCGTGGGGAGAGGGAGACCGTGGGGAGAGGGAGACCATGGGGAGAGGCAGAGGCAGAGGCAGAGGAGGCAGAGGAGGCAGAGGAGGCAGAGGCAGAGGCAGAGGCAGAGGCAAATTTTTCTATTTTTAGTGGAGACAGGGTTTCATCACGTTGGCCAGGCTGGTCTAGAACGCCTGACCTCAGGTGATCCTCCTGCCTCGGCCTCCCAAAGTGCTGGGATTACAGGCCTGAGCCACCACGTCTGGCCAGAACCATTTTTTAAAATAAAAAAGCACTAGGAAACCTACAGAGAAATTAATACTACTTACCAAAGTTCAGTAAGTTAGAAAAAATAACTAGAATGAACACTTTTGTCTTCAAATCCTGCTAGTCCAACATCCATGCTATTTTCCATTTCTTAATTAAATCACATCTTTGTCAGTTATTTCATCAAACGATGTATAAGCATAGACAACTACAGGAATTGGCCCAAGGGAGTTAGGCACGAGATGAGATAGAACCAACTGTTTAGGAGTGGCATGAATATACACAAAGCCCACAGTCTTTCTGCTCATTTGTCAGTGTCTTGTGCTCTAGACAGAACTTCAGACTTGAAGAAAACCTGAAAAGGCCATCATGTCACGCTCCAATAAATTATTTGGATTCCCTGAAGTCTGGTCTCAGAGTTGCTCTTTGTTTTAAGGCAAGAGAAAATGTTCAAAGCAGCCTTTGTTATTTGCTAAAATGACAGTCTTTTAAAATCACGCATCATAACTAGTCCCACATAAATACACATAAAAATACTATTCTAACCTTTTCTAACCTGTTAGTGGCACATTTTCAACTGTAAATTAGAAAATCTCACCAAGTCAAGCATAAGCAATGTAATTATCTACATATGGTAGTGGCTAGTTAACTGCTCAGTCTTTTAAGAGAGTCTGTAATAATCGATATGATATATGCGGGTAGAAATCTGTATTAAATGAAATTTGTGACACAGGAACATCCATCTGTGGAACACAGTTAATCACACCATCCAAGGTCTCTGTGCTTCTATTATAAATCAAATCACCACCACACAGCTGTTACTATCTCTAACGGGTGCTTCCACTGCTGTCCAAGCAGTTAATTCTCCAGAAAAAAAAAAAAAATCCATGAAAACTTTTAAAATTTGGGGTTAAAAGTGTGGCATTACCTAGACTGCATGCATAATACACTACACTTCTATTACAGTGAACTGAGCCAAATTTATTTGATTCTGTTTTGTTCTTTCTCTTGGGAAATTTTAGGGGCCTCAGGTCCTGCTATGAACTCTAAAGAGTACAATGTGATTTGAAAGGTTCTAAAAATATCACAGGTTTGCCTAGGCTCACTTAGAAGGGTGGATGATTCAATTACAAGTGTCAAAATTTGATTCCTAATTTTTCAGGACCTGACAGCTGCAGCACATCTTGCCAGGATTCCCTTATCTTCATTGTGCTTCTCTTTGAAGTATTTAAAGAAGATTTCATAATCTTTCCAATTTAGCTCTAAGATTTGTCAGTAGCTGTAGAATGAATTGGCTGGCCCTTTCTAAAGCTGCTTATAAATATTATTTGACCAAGCATATTTTAAAAGTAGCTGTAACTACAAAACAGCTGAGCTTCTTGTGATGGTCAGGGGAGAAAACACAATGGACTATAATACTCCCATACACCATAAACCAAGGATGACCTTTCATTGCATGAGTTCCAGTGGAACCTTAACTGGAGGTACATTTATTGCTATAAAAAAAATTCAGATCCCAAAGGCATGCATTCATCTGAATGACCACTCTGGGAAGGGTACTAGTACTGCATATCATTGGGACTGATTTTTTGTTTGCTCTTTCAAATTATGAAAGCAGAGAATCAGAGAGATCAAGGTGACTAAGATGGTAAAATCACTAGCTACTGGCACTACTTACAAGAGGCACATGTTCTATTCTTCGTCCTTCCAGTAAATGAGAGAAAGTCTTCAAGCTGAGATTGCTGCCTATGAAACAGCAAAAATCACGCCAAAAGAGGTAGCTGAAGGCTACCAGATTAAATGGCAAATTTAAGTTTCTCACCAGGTATTTAAAAAATAATACAGGCATGAACCACAATGCCTGGCATAATCAGATTTTTTAAGATTAAAAAACCTGGCCAGGCACAGTGGCTTACGCCTGTAATCCCAGCACTTTGGGAGGCTAAGGCGGGTGGATCATGAGGTCAGGAGATTGAGACCATCCTGGCTAACATGGTGAAACCCCATCTCTACTAAAAATACAAAAAAATTAGCCGGGCATGGTGGCGGGCACCTGTAGTCCCAGCTACTCGGGAGGCTGAGGCAGGAGAATGGCGTGAACCCGGGAGGCAGAGCTTGCAGTGAGCCAAGATCGCACCACTGCACTCCAGCCTGGGCAACAGAGCAAGACTCCATCTCAAAAAATAAATAAATAAAATAAATAAAGATTAAAAAACCCAACCCAAAATACAGATCCAATGTTCTTCTACTTAGTGCACACATTACTTCAAAAATGTCCCTTATCTGGGCTGGGTGAGGTGGCTCAAGCCTGTGATCCCAGCACTTTGGGAAGCCGAGGTGGGCGGATCACTTGAGGTCAGGAGTTCAAGCCCAGCCTGGCTAACATGGTGAAACTCCGTCTGTACTAAAAATACAAAAATTAGTCGGGCATGGTGGTGGGCACCTGCAATCCCAGCCACCTGGGAGGCTGAGGCATGAGAATCGCTTGAACCCGGGAGGCGGAGGTTGCAGTGGGTTGAGATCATGTCAGTGCACTCCAGCCTGAGTGACAGAGTGAGACTGTCAGGCTGCTCCATTACTGAAGAAAGCTCAAGTGGTAGACATTTTTCTCTGAAGTCAATCAAATATTTCATTCTAATCACCATTCATTGGTCCTAATTTGGCTTTCTCATAAACAAAAAAAATAACACTAATCCATCTGTGTCAGGGGTCCCCAAGACCATCTCTAGATTCAGTGATTCACTGGGAGAACTCAAAGTATACAGTCATACTCTTAGCTATGATTTATTACACTGAATACCAAGCAAAATCGCAGAGGGAAAAGGCACATGGGGTGAAATTTGGAGGAAACCAGGTGCAAACTTCTAAAAGTTGTCTCCCACTGCAGTCACAGAGGGCATAATTAATTCCTCCAGTGATGAGTTATAACAACACGCATGAAATGATCAGGGAGGCTCATTAGAGACTTAGTTCTCAAGGTTTTTACTAGGAGCTGATCATCTAGGCACATTCTGCCTAGCCTGTACCAAAATTCCAGAAAGAAGAAAGAAAGAAAGAGAGAGAGAGAGGAAGGAAGGAAGGAAGGAAGGAAGGAAGGAAGGAAGGAAGGAAGGAAGGAAGGAAGGGAGGAAGGAAAAGAAAGAAAGACAAAGAAAGAGGCAAGCAAGCAGGAGCTCGACATAAAGCACACTCTTCATATACTTTAGGCAAGGTGAGCCATTCTTATCAGTGAATGGCAGGAATCCATCCAAGAACCAAGTTCCCCCAGATGCCAGCCAAGGGCCAACTTTGCAAGCAGACCTTTCTAGGGATAGCAGTCTCAGGCCTGCATGTTAATTTTTTTCTGAACACCATCTTTTCCATAATCCTTTAACTATTTATTATGTCTTTCTTCAGTCTTTTATTCCTCAGTTAATACATAATCAATTCCCACTGTGTCTTTCTCTAGTCTTTTGTTTCAGTTAATACATAATCAATTATTGATATGAAAGTTTCCAGACTTTTTGTCCATTTTAGTCACCCTCATGTGGGACTCTGGCATGATTGTCTCTTAAAACATGAAGTCAAAAATATAAAATAATACTCCAGGCATAATCAGACCATAAACAGGATACTTTTTAAAAAAATTAATGTAGTATAATCGTTTATGCATTTTTTAAAGCTGCGTTAGTAACAGATGATGTGTTGAATTGGCAAACAAAACTTGAATTCTACCACATTATATTTATTATAATCCCATTAATGGCATTTTGTTTAAGCACAGTGCCCCTATCTACCAAGATGATTCTGAATTATAATTCCATCATGTGTTTCAGGTTGACTATTTCTTCCAGCTTTCTGTCATGTGCAAACTATTGATGACTCTACAGCCAGACTGCTAAATCCAACTCCTGGTTCTACTACTTACTAGCAATGGGGTGTCAGGCAAGTCAGCTTAAAACCTCTGCATGTCTCAGATCCTTTATCTGTAAAAACTGGGTATAGTAATTACAGCCAGGCGCAGGCTCACGCCTGTAATCCTAACACTTCAGGAGGCCGAAGTGGGAGGACTGCTTGAGGCCGGGAGTTTAAGACCAGCCTGGGAAACATAGTGAGACCACATCTCTACAAAACAAAACAAAAAAAGAAAATTAGCTGGGCATGGTGGCTCGTGCCTGTAGTCCGAGCTTCTCAGGAGGCTGAGGTAGGAGGATCACTTGAGCCTAGGAGTTTCAGGCTGCAGTAAGCCATGATCACACCACCGCACTCCAGCCTGGGTGACAGAGTGAGATCCTGTCTCTGGGGAAAAAAAAAAAAAAAAAGAAACCTAAATAAAAAAAAATTGTACTTACAGAGTCGTACAATGACAAAAATGAGAATAATGTATATAAGAAGCCTAGTATGATATATGGCACGTTGTAATTGCCTAATTAAAAAATTATTATTTATCTAAAGTATTGATAATAATAAACAAATCAGGATAAAGGGCAAATCTCCATGGCATTTTTTGTGTGTACATTTCCTCAGAGATGACAGCAATCAAAATATTTTGAGACTATCAATTCAACCAGATTTATATTAAGATATACTTAAAATTCAATATAAAAACCTTTGAGATATAAAAACAGTAAAATATTCATTACTATTTATTTTCAGTTATGTTAGCAGGGTGTAATCTCTAAACTAAATGTAGTCATTTAATAGAGTGTAGTTTCTATCATCTTTCAAATACTGGTATGAAGGGAAAGAAATCAAGATTGACTGGATGGGTAGGAAAATGTATCTTTTATCACTGAGAAGATCATTTCAACTGTTCAAGCAATTCCTACTTATGTCAGAACTCTGGCAGATAAGAGAAAAATACATGCCTGTGCTTATTCCTGTGTACTGCCTTACTTTATGAAAATAAAATGTTAAAATGATAAAGTACAATGGGGGGGAAGTACTTCCAGAAACTTCGTCTTTTACTAATAAGGAAAACCAATGAAATACCAATAAAAAGGCCTAGTAAAGAAAAAAATATCTGTAGCATCTGCAATCAGAAGAGCTAAAACTCTTAGACAGTATGTAACATCTGGAACATTAACTTTAATGGCAGTAGGAAGCATCAAAATGTATACTTCACCACCAAACTAAAAACTGCTAATGGACCTCTAAAAAGAAAATGACTAAAGAATATAAATCACTGTATATGTCTAGAACTTGTTACATTTACGCAAATTAACATTATGTTCCTAAATTTTTCCAAGATAAGATCAATCAAATAACTACATATCGACAATCAAGGAATAAAGTTTTACATCCAAACAAATGGCTGTCATATAATTTCTGGCAAATATACACTTCCCAATTAATGATTGTTCACAGTGTAGTCCTCTTTAGAGTCAAATATGATTCCTAAAATTTACCCATTCTAATAGTGCCATCTCCAAGGCACTATAGGAATGGGTAAATTTTAGGAATCATATTTGATGGCAATAAAATATTGCCATTAGGATGGCAATAGTCTCTTACATGCTAACTGTGTAACTTTGGGAAAATTATTTCAATTTCTCTGTTTCTTAAGTTACAAAATGGAGGTAATATTTACTTCAGAGGCTTTCTGAGAGGATGAATTAGGGTATATTGTGAGATAACATAAAATTTACCACTTTTACCATTTTTAAGTATACAGTTCTGTGGCTTTAAGTACATTCATGTTGCTGTTGTATAACCATTACTAAAGCTATATTTTTTAAGTGCTCAAGACTGAGCATGCAGTAACTGCTCAGAGAATGGCAGCTAGAATTATTCTCATTAATGCTATCTTATTCCATTTTAAATTTGTGTAAATTATTTATTCCTAAACAGAAACTATTTCATATTTATTTCCACTAAATTGCTCCCAGTCTGGGAAATACTAGTTTCAACTTTTAAGCTGTGAACTATATTTCTAGCTTTCAAATTCTTCATCCAAGTGATTGACAAAAATATACAAATACTAAGAACTAACACACAGCATTTACTATGTGCCTAGTGCTGTTCTAAGCATGTTCAATTAATCCTCAAAATAATTCTAGGAGTTACATACTACAAACATTCACATTTTACAGCTGAGTATAAAGAGGGTAAGGAACTCGTCCAAGGTCATCCAGCTGGTAAACGGCAAAACCAGGATTTGCACTCAAACAACCAAGTTCTAGAGCCACTCTTAACCACTCCACCATGCTGCCTCTGACACACATAGTTAACATACCACCCATGCAAATGATTACTTTCAGATGCCAGGTGTTATATGTTGACTGAGCCTTTGAGTTTCTCAGAAGCTTTAGCACCTATTATTTCATGTGCCTTTCCTAGAGATAATAAAGAGCAATCAGCCCCATTTTACAGATAGAGAAGCCTCAGGGAGGTCGAGTAATTTCTTCAAGGTCAACAGATCTTAGAGAGGTCCTGGGTCTTAGCTTGGCCACTTACTAGCTGTGTGAAACTGCAATCTCCTCGAGCATCACTCAACTGTGACAGGGAAATGGTAACAACACCTTTTACAAGAAGTAAAAAAGTATCTATTTGCAAAGTACCTGGAACAGAGCTTTGTATAAAAAGTGCTCAATAAATGTGAGTCCCCCTTTCCTCATTTTGCATGTGATTCCTGGCATAGTGTTCTTTCCAAACACCATGCCACTAATTATCAATACCTTCTCACCAACTGTTTAACAGATGGGGGGCAAAGGACATGATTTTTTGGAGATTACTATGTGATATCAAACCAGAAACCTCAGTGAACCATGTGATACTAAATCAGGCACCTCAGTGAATTATACCTCCAGCTGTATTATATAATTTTAAATATAAGAAACTTCTTCTCTTTTGTCCATATGGCCTATCACTTTATCATAGTAGAAAATAAAACTGGTATACCAAGATTTGTTCTTTATAAAATTATGCTTAATGTTCCCCGATACCTTCTGTTCTTTTAGGTAACTGCCAAATACCTTACTTGATTTGTTCTTTTCCGACCAGACATTGTTCAAAAATTAAGTTATCATTTCCAAATGATGACATCTTTTTCCCCTTAAAAAAAAAGACTGCTTTTTTTTTTCCCTGTCATTGGATCCGTCTCCTATTCACCATGATTTCTCAAAAATAAAGGCTAATAACCTGGCACTAGGTTTTTTCCCTCACATTTGCATAGAGGGAACATCTAACACTGAATTGTAAGTACTATTTATGCCAAATACGGCCATAACAATTAGTATTTCCTGTGATTTAGGCAGCATTTTCTTAAGAAAAGATAAAAATGCTAGGAGGTGGCATAGTCTCTTGTAAAGCGAAACTGCTGCATAATTGATCTTTTATTTTTTTCTCTAGACAGCAAAGATGTCATGAAGCATACACTGTTGACTTCCAGATATCATTTAAAACACTCCCATGTCTTAAACCAATTTGGAAGTGGATGTTAAAAGCCAAGGGAATTTTTCAATCACATGTTGACTTCCTGAATCTACTACTTCCCCAGCAAGCTAAAAGGCACATTGGGAGGGTACAACCTGAAGTACCACAGAGAAAAGTGGTACTATGGGAGCAATTCATTTGTTTGGCACAGTGAAGGTTCACTGCCAATTTGTAACAGTATGGATTCAATAACTTTTCAAAGCCAAAAATGAGGTTTGGACAAGAGTAGCTTTCCACGATAGCTTTTGCTGAGATCTAGTAGCTGTTACAAAATTTAAAAGCCTGTAAAAATTGGTAAAGTCCAAGCAATGTTTACAAATTAAAATATGACCTATTGCTTTATTTTGCTAAAAAAGCACTAAACTAAGATATTTGACTTCATTTATTCATTCATTCCTGGGCTAATTTTATGAAAAGAGGATGGAAAATTATATTTTTGGTGCTTGAGTTTAGCCATCTATAAAAAATATTATTTGTCCCACTAATCTTATGAGTCTGACAGAAGGATAAATGAAACAAAAGCTGTTAAAGCATTGTTCAAAATTTAAAGTATATTGCAATGTGAGACACAATTATATTTTTTTAAAGTTGTAAGCTTCTATGATGAGGTCATTTTAATCATGTCAGTCCCACCAGACAAGTATACATTACTGACAAAATAACTTAATGATATTTTCTTAGCCCTTTATGGAAATGCATTTACCAACAAATATAGATTTTTGTATTATCTGTTTGCTACTAACGTTTTTCACTTTTATAATTTAATATTTATAAATAATTAAATCCAATATAAATTCACTTAATTAAGAAGTGAAAATTTGGGGCCGGGTGCAGTGGCTCACACCTGTAATCCCAGCACTCTGGGAGGCCGAGGCGGGCAGATCATGAGGTGAGGAGTTTGAGACCAGCCTGACCAACCTGGTGAAACCCCGTCTCTACTAAAAATACAAAAATTAGCCAGGCCTGGTGACGTCCACCTGTAATCCCAGCTACTCAGGAGGCTGAGGTAGGAGAATCACTTGAACCCAGAAGGCAGAGGTTGCAGGGAGCCAAGATCGCGCCACTGCACTCCAGCCTGGGCGACAGAGCGAGACTCCGTCTCAAAAAAAAAAAAAAAAAAAGTGAAAATTTGGAACATAATATCTCGTAAAATCATTAACATATCTGCCATTTTACATCAAGAAATTCTCAGTATGGCCAGGCGTGGTGGCTCACGCCTGTAATCCCAGCACTTTGGGAGGCCAAGGCAGGCAGATCACCCAAGGTCGGGAGTTCAAGAGCAGCCTGGCCAACATGGTAAAACTCTGTCTCTACTAAAAATACAAAAATTAGCTGGGCATGTTGGCAGGCACCTATAATCCCAGCTATGTGGGAGGCTGAGACAGAAAAATCACTTGAACCTGGTAGGCGGAGGTTGCAGTGAGCAGAGATCCCGCCATTGCACCCCAGCCTGGGTGACAAGAGTGAAATTCCATCTCAAAAAGAAAAAAAAAGAAAAAGAAAAAAATAATCTCAGTATTATTGCAAAAAGACTCTTCAGTTTTAAATATGTTTTATAAAATAAGATTAACGTCCCAATATTAACATTCACACTAAGAAAGTCAAACACACTAATAGTTTCACATAAAAACAATACTCATACCCTTGTCCCATGAGATGGCTCAGCTTACCTCATCTCCCTTTAAAACTTCAGTACCATCAAATTCACGGGTCTGATTTCTCTTTACTGATGCTTCTCTCTCTAGGCTGGCTAACTTCTCCTTGGCCTCCTGAAGTTCCTCAGCTTTGGCTTCTTTTTTACGGGAAATGATAGATGCCTGATTGAGCATTAAATATGAAGGTATAATAAGATATACAATCAACTTTCTATTATCTTGTGAAATTATCTATTTTTTAGATTTTACCAAGTTATATTTTCAATATCAGCTTGGCCTCTCTTAACCAATACTCCTTGCCCTACTACTCATCATCACCAATTATATTGAATATGAACATACAATGTATATTAAATACCAACCTACAAACACTTTGGAAGACAAAGCTCTGAAAATGTAAGACATATCAGCAGAGAAACAAAAATGTGCTAATAAGAAAAATATTAGGCCAGGCATGGTGGCTCAAACCTGTAATCTCAGCACTTTGGGAGGCCGAGGCAGGAGGATCATGAGGTCAGGAGTTCGAAAAGAGCCTGACCAACATGGTGAAAACCCATCTCTACTAGAAATACAAAAATTAGCTGGGTGTGGTGGTGTGTGCCTGTAATCCCAGCTACTCAGGAGGCTAAGGCAGGAGAATCGCTTGAACCCGGGAGGTGGAGGTTGCAGTGAGCCGAGATCACGCCACTGCGCTCCAGCCTGGGTGACAGAGAAAGACTCTGTCTCAGAAAAAAAAAAAAAAAAAAAAAGAAAAATATTAAAGTCTTCTCAAATAACACTCAAATGCTAATGAAAATACATCCTAGTTCAAGTCAATAGAAGGTAACACCAAGTCTACCGTATTTTTACATGGTGGGTTTCCCTTTATTGGAAGAAAAAAATGCTTTTTTCTCAAAACTACAACACAGGTCATCTTACTAAATTCAATATCCGTACTTTTAAAATGAAATGTTAAAACATCTATCATATTTGGGCCATTCTAATAAATAAAATGCAGGTTCAAAATCAAACATCTGACTCACCAGAATTAGGCAAATGTTTACAAAATGCAAATGGCTACTCTTAGCAGCATTTTATATTAGCTAGTAACTCTTGGGAGATTTCCTTAAACGAACCATAGCTGTACTAGTTTAAGAAAAACATTAGCCAAACTGTCTTAAGAGAAATGATACAAATAATTTTTCAAGGAAATTTGACAGGAGAGCGAAATCTCTAGCACAAATCCTTAAAAAAATTCTATTGTCCTTTTTTTAAGAAAATGAAAAGACAGGTGATCATGAAGCAATGTTTTACTCCATAGAACTATTCTAGCTTAAAAAATGAAGGAGGCTGGGTGCAGTGGCTCACGTCTGTAATCCCAGCACTTTGGGAGGCCAAGGTGGGAGGATCACTTGAGCCCAGGAGTTCAAGACCAGCCTAGGCAACATAGTGAGATCCTGACTCTACAAAAAAATAAATAATAAAAAAAAAATAGCTGAGTGTTGTGATGCACACCTGTGGTCCCAGCTACTTGGCAGGCTGAGATAGGAGGCTCACTTCAGCTTAAGAGGTTGAGGCTGCAGTGAGCTATGATCATGCCACTACACTCCAGCCTGGGTGACAGAGACCCTGTCTCAAAGAAAAAAAAAAAGTGGGTCAGGCGTGGTGGCTCACGCCTGTAATACCAGCACTTTGGGAGGCCACGGTGGGTGGATTATCTGAGGTCAGGAGTTCAAGACCAGCCTGGTCAACATGGTAAAACCCTGTTTCTACTAAAAATACAAAAAAATACACCAAGCCAGGCATGGTGGCGTGTACCTGTGGTCCCAGATACTTGAGAGGCTGAGGCAGGAGAATTCCTTGAACCTGGGAGGCAGAGGCTGCAGTGAGCCGAGATTGTACCACTGCCCTCCAGCCTGGGTGACAGAGTGAGACTCCATCTCAAAAGGAAAAAAAAAAAAAAAAAAGTGGTGAAGAAGGAATGATAGAACGCCAGACTCTATAAGAATTGATAGTATACTTCAATAATAAAATAAATAACATGATAAAATAAATATAAACTTCATCCCCAAACCAGGATCTTACTTAATAGAGAAATATGAGGGTATTTCCCACTAAACTCAGGAACAAGAAAAAAATGCCCACTACCTTTACTATAGTTTAATTACTGTATTGAAAGTATTAGCTAATAGACATGAGAAAGCAATTAGAAGCATAAAAATTTGAAAGGAAAAATTGGAATTTGCATGTTTATATAATTATGTTTCCAAAAGATCAAAAGAATAGAAAAACTACAGAAACCAAATCAATAGCTTTCATAGACAAAATCAGTCGGAAGACATAAGGAAAGAAAAGCCCTGATTTATAAAAGCAAAAATGAAAGTAAATATATGTGATGGTTACTATTAGGTGTCAACTTGACTGGATTGAGGGATGCCTAGGTGGCTGGTAAAGCATTTTTTCTGGGTGTGTCTGTGAGGGTATTGCCAGAGGAGACTGACATTTGAGTTAGTGGACTGGAAGACAAAGACCCACTCTCAATGTGGTGGGCACCATCCAATCAGCTTCCAGTGCTGCTAGAACAAGGCAGGGGGAGGAAGGTGGGATAGCTTTGCTCGCTGAGTCTACTGGCTCTCTTTCTTCCTCCCATGTTGGATGCTTCCTCTCCTCCTGTCCTTGGACATCAGACTCCAGGTTTTTCAGCTTTTGGGACTTACACCAACAGCTTCCTGGGGCTCTAGGCCTTTTGGCTGCAGGCTGAAGGCTGCACTGTCGTCTTCCCTGGTTTTGAGGCTTTTGGCCTTGGACTGAGCCGCTATTGGATTTTCTCTTTCTCCAGCTTGCAGATGGTCTATCATGAGACTTTGCCTTGTAACTGTGTGAGCCAATTCTCCTTAATAAATTCCCTTTTATATATACCTATATCCTATTAGTTCTGACTAACCAATAGGATATATGGTTGATTAGGATAACCCTGACTAATACAATAGGTAGGCATAAATTTTACAAAAAAGAGTTTCGAAACCGTTTGAGGAGGCGAGATTCTGAGAAGGTGGTGGAGTAGGAAGCACCCAAAATCTGTCTCCTCACCTAGTGAACAGTTTCTCTGGTGTTCCAAAATAATTACATCACACAGATTCTACCAGTGTAATTGTTGGAATACTGAGTGCTTGCAACATCCAGTGGAAAGCTTGGACAGTAAAGTGAGGCTAATTTCAATCAATTTCAACCCTTAGCACAATAGCAGGTCCCATCCCCCACCTCCAGCCCCAAACACATGTTCCTGGTGCAGCATGCACACAGCTTGCTGGAGCAAGTGTGAACAGAAAAGACCTAGTCCTCCAATACTGGGGATCTATGCGCTGCTTCTGATCACAGAGGTGCAGACAAAGAGAGGGAGGCCATTGTTGCATCTTCCACCATTATTGCAAGTCCCTCCCCCTCTTACTGAAGTGACTTCTAGAGGAATTATAGGTCCGGATCCTTTTTTCTGTCCCTTTAGTTTTTCTCATTCTCCCCTTTTGGAAGCCAGACATTTAAGACTAAGACATTAAAAAGCAACTGCATATATGGGAAAATTTAGAAAGTGATGACACATGTCCGGGGAAATGCACTGGCTCAGAAAAGACCTGAGATTTTTTTGAGACAGGATCTGGCTCCATCACTCAGGCTGGAGTGCAGTGGCCCAATCTTGGCTCACTGCAACCTCCACCTACCAGGCTCAAGCAATCTGCCCACCTCAGCCTCCTAAGTAGCTGAGACCACAGGTACACACCACCACGCCCAGGTATATTTCTGTGTTTTTAGTAGAGACCTTGCCATGTTGCCCAGGTTAGTCTCAAACTCCTGAGCTCAACCACACATCTTGGTCTCCCAAAGTGCTGAGATTATAGGCATAAGCCACTGTGCCCAGCCTATCTTAACTTTACACTTTAGCCTATCCTTTGGTGCAGTCTACACCAATCAAAAAAACAAAAACTATAACAAAAAACAGTAAACCCCTGGGAAAAGAGAGAACCTAATTTCCAGAGTTACTACATTATGAGATTCCAATGTCCACTTTTCAATCAAAAAAATCACAGCCAGGCGCAGTGGCTCACACTTGTAATCCCAGCACTTTGGGAGGCTGAGGCGGGCGGATCACGAGGTCAGGAGATCGAGATCATCCTGGCTAACATGGTGAAACCCCATCTCTACTAAAAATACAAAAAATTGGCCGGGCGCGGTGGCTCACGCCTGTAATCCCAGCACTTTGGGAGGCTGAGGCGGGTGGATCACGAGGTCAGGAGATCGAGACCATCCTGGCTAACAGGTGAAACCCTGTCTCTAATTAAAATACAAAAAATTAGACGGGCGTGGTGGCGGGCGCCTGTAGTCCCAGCTGCTCGGGAGGCTGAGGCAGGAGAATGGCGTGAACCTGGGAGGGGGAGCTTGCAGTGAGCCGAGATAGTGCCACTGCAGTTTGGCCTGGGCGAAAGAGCGAGACTCCATTTCAAAAAGAAAAAAAAAAATCACAAAGCATACAAAGAAACAATAAAATATGACACATCTAAAGGAAAAATATGAGGCCAGGCACAGTGGCTCACACCTATAATCCCAACACTTTGGGAAGCTAAGGCAGAAGGATCCCTTAAGGCCAGGAGTTTGAAACCAGTTTGAGCAGCATAATGAGACCCTGTTTCTATTTTTTAGAATAAAATTGTTAAAAAAATTTGAAAACAGGCCAGGCACAGTGGCTCATGCCTGTAATCCTACCACTTTGGGAGGCCAAAGCAGGTGAATCACTTGAGGTCAGGAGTTCCAAGACCAGTCTGGCCAACATGGTGAAACCTGTCTCTACTAAAAATACAAAAATTAGCCAGGTGTGATGGCTAATTTTTGTATTAGCCTATAATCCCAGCTACTCAGGAGGCTGAGGCAGGAGAATTGCATGAACCCAGGAGGTGGAGGTTGCAGTGAGTTGAGATCATGCCACTGCACTCCACCTGGACAATGGAGTGATACTCTGTCTCAAAAATAAAATAAAATAAAAATAAAAATAAAAACAAAAGAATAAAATGAATGAATAGAAATTCTCTGAAAGAGACCTGATGGCAGATCAACTAGATAAAGACTTTAAAACTACTGTCTTAAAGATGCTCAAAGAACTCATGAAGATGTGGAGAACATCAAGAAAACAATGTATTAACAAAATAGAAATGCCAATACAGGGAAAACCTAAAAAGAAAGCAAAAAGAAATCCTGGAGCTAAAAAGTGCAATATTGAAATTAAAAATTCACTAGAGGTATTCAAAGGCAGATTTGGGAAGGCAGACAAAAGAATCCATGAACTTGAAGACAGGACAATAGAAATTATCAAGTCTGAGAAATAGGAAGAGAAAAATATTGAAGAAAAGTGAACAGAGCCTAAGGGATATGTGGGATACCATTAAGTAGGCCAGTATATGCACTGTGGGAGTCCCAGAAGGAAAAGACAAAGAGAAAGGGACAGATAGAATATATGAAGAAATAATGTATGAAAACTTCATCAATTTGATTAAATACAAATATAAACATCTAAGAAGAAGAAGAAACTCCAAGAAAGATGAACTGAAAGAGACATACACTGAGACACATTAAAATCAAACTGTTGGCACTTGATCTTCTCTCTTTAAACTTCATGTGCCTGCTTTGGTTTCTTCCAAGTGCACTTCCTTTCTTTTCTAAGGCCTTTTATTATTATGATTATTATTTATTTAGTTATTTATTTTTTTGAGGCAGGGTCTCATTCTGTTGCCCAGGCTGAAGTGCAATGGCATGATCTTGGCTCACGGCAACCTCCGCCTCCCAGGTTCAAGCAATTCTCCTGCCTCAGCCTCCCGAGTAGCTGGAACTACAGGCACACGCCACCACCCCCGGCTAATTTTTGTATTTTTTGGTAGAGACGGGGTTTCACCATATTGGCCAGGCTGGTCTCAAACTCCTGACCACATGATCTGCCTGCCTCGGCCTCCCAAAGTGTTGGGATTACAGGCATGAGCCACCGTGTCTGGCCTCTAAGGCCTTTTAAAATAAACTTCTACTCCTGCTCTGAAAAAAAAAAAAAAATCAAACTGTCAAAAGCCAAAGGCAAAGAGAACATTCTGAAGGCATCAAGAGACTGACTAGTCACATACAAGAGATCCTCAATAAGATCATCAGCAAATTTCTAATCAGAAACTTTGGAGGCCAGAAAGCAGTGGGATAATATATCAAGATGCTAAGAGAAAGAATTGTCAACCAAGAATCATATATCTGGCAAAACTGTCCTTCAAAAGTAAGGGAGAGGCTGGGTGTGGTGGCTCACACCTATAATCTTGGTACTTTGGAAGGCTGGGGCAGGCAGATCACTTGAAGTCAGGAGTTCTAGACCAGCCTGGCCAACGTGGCAAAACCCCATCTCTACTAAAAATACAAAAATTAGCTGGGCGTGGTGGTGCACACCTGTAGTCCCAGCTACTCGGGAGGCTGAGGCAGGAGAACTGCTTGAACCCAGGAGGTGGAGATTGCAGTGAGTGGAGATCATGCCACTGCATTCCATCCTGGGCGATGAAGTGAGACTCCATCTCCAAAAAAAAAAAAAGTAAGGAATAAATTAAGACATTCCCAGATAAACAAAAGCTACATTCCCAGATAAGCAAAAGCTAAGGGAGTTTGTTACAACTAGACTTGCCTTGGAAGAAATGCTCAAATAAGTCCTGAAAGGTGAAATGAAAAGATACTAGGAAGTAACTCAAAGCTGTATAAGAAAGAAAGATCCCAATAAAGGCAAATACATGAGCAATTATGAAAGATAGTATTAGTGTAACAACGGTCTGTAAATCCACTTTTTGTTCTCTACATAATTTAAGAGACTATACATTTAAAACAACACAATTATTATTAATAGCTGAATGGCTAGTATTACTGTAATTTTGGTTTATATCTCCACATTTTGTTTTGTATATAATTTAAGAGATTAACACATTTAAAAGAATTATTAGTTTATGTTTTGGGCATACAATGTGTAAAAGATATAATTTAAGAGATTAATGCATTTAAAAGGATTGTTAGTTTATGTTTTGGGGCACACAATGTGTAAAGATGTCATTTTGTGACATGAACAACTGAAAGGGGTGGGGATGGAGCTGTAATGGAGCAGAGTTTTTATATGTTATTGAAGTTAAACTTGTATAAATTCAAATTACAGTGATATAACTTCAGGATGTAATCCCCATGGTAACCACAAAGAAAATAGCTATAGAATATACACAAAGGAAATGAGAAAGGAATTTAAACATTTCACCATAAAAAAATCAACTAAACACAAAAGACAGTAAAGCAGGAAACGAGGAACAAAAAAGCTACAATGCATATAGAAAGCAAATAGCAAAATGACAGAAGTTGCTGTTTATCAGTAATTAAATATAAATAGATTGATTATCTAATTAAAAGACAGTGATTGGCAGAATGGACAAAAAACATGTGATCCAGGCCGGGCGCGGTGGCTCACACCTGTAATCCCAGAACTTTGGGAGGCCGAAGTGGGCAGATCACCTGAGGTCAGGAGTTCAAGACCAGCCTGGTCAACATGGTGAAACCCCGTCTCTACTGAAAATACAAAAAATTAGTTGGGCATGGTGGCAAGTACCTGTAATCCCAGCTACTCGGGAGGCTGAGGCAGGAGAATCGCTTGAACTAGGGAAGTGGAGGTTGCAGTGAGCTGAGATCGCGCCATTGTACTCCAGCCTGGGCAACAGGAGTGAAACTCCATCTCAAAAAAAACCCCCCAAGAAACCACATGATCCAAGTAATGCTGTCTACAGGAGACTCATTTTAGATCCAAAGACATAACTAAACTGAAAGTGAAAGGATAGAAAAAGATATTCCATTCAAATAGTAAACAAAAGACAACAGAGTGACTATATTAATAACAGATGAAATAACTTTAAATTTTCAAAGAGTACAAGAGACAAAGAAGGACATTATTAATAAAAGGTTCAATACAGCAAGATTATAAGCAATTATAAATATTTTCACACCTAATGACAGACCATCAAAATATATGAAGCAAAAACTGACAGAATTGAACACAGAAAAAGACAATTGTATAATAATAGCTTGAGACTTCAACATTCAGTCTCAATAATGGATAGAACAAACAGAATATAAGTTAGAAAATACAGGACTTAAACAACAAAATAAATCAACTAGATTTAGCAGACATATAGAAAACTGAGACATATAGAGGCTGAGATCTCACCACTGCACTCCAGCCTGGGTGACAGAGTGAGACTGTGGCCAAAAAAAAGTTTCAATAGATTTTAAAAGATAGATATCATACAGAGTATCTTATTTGACTACAACAGGATGAAGTTAGAAATCATCAACAGAAATAAAACTGGTAAATTCACAAATTTGTGGAAATTAAAAATACATTTTTTTCTTTCTTTCTTTTTCTTTTTTTTTTTTTTTTGTGAGACAGAGTCTTGCTCTGTCACCCAGGCTGTAATGCAGAGGCATGATCTTGACTCACTGCAACCTCTACCTCCCGGGTTCAATTTTTCCATCTCAGCCTCCCGAGTAGCTGGGATTACAGACATGCACCATCATGCCCGGCTAATTTTTGTGTTTTTAACAGAGACAGGGTTTCACCATGTTGGCCAGGCTGGTCTTGAACTCCTAGCCTCATGTGATCTGCCTGCCTCAGCCTCCCAAAGTGCTGGGACTACAGGCGTGAGTCACCGCACCCGGCCAAAAATACTTTTTTTTTTTTTTGAGATAGTGTCTCACACTGTTGCCTGGGCTGGAGTGCAATGGCGTGATCTCGGCTCATTGCAAGCTCTGTAATCCTAGCACTTTGGGAGGCCAAGGCAGGTCTATCATGAGGTCAGGAGTTCAAGACCAGACTGGCCAAGATGGTGAAACCCCGTCTCTACTAAAAATACAGAAAAATTAGCTAAGGGTGGTGGCAGGCACCTGTAATCTCAGCTACTTGGAAGGCTGAGGCAGAGAATTGCTTGATCCCAGGAGGCGGAGGTTGCCGTGAGCTGAGATCATGCCACTGCACTCCAGCCGAGGTGACAGAGCGAGACTTTGTCTAAAAAAAAATATCCCAACAAAGAAAAGCCCTGGTCCTGATGGCCACACTGGTGAATTCCACCCAACACTTAAATTAACGAATACCAGGCTGGGCGCGGTGGCTCATGCCTGTAATCCCAGCACTTTGGCAGCCGAGGCAGGTGGATCAGCTGAGGTCGGGAGTTCAAGACCACCCTGACCTTTAGTAGAGACATGGAGAAACCCTGTGTCTACCAAAAATAAAAAATTAGCTGGCATGGTGGTGCATGCCTGTAATCCCAGCTACTCGGGAGGCTGAGGCAGGAGAATCACTTAAACCTGAGAGGCGGAGGTTGCGGTGAGCCAAGATCACGCCATTGCACTCCAGCCTGGGTAACAAGAGCGAAACTTCGTCTAAAAAAAAAGAAAATATCCCAACAAAGAAAAGCCCTGGTCCTGATGTCCTCACTGGTGAATTCCACCCAACACTTAAATTAACGAATACCAGGCTGGGCGCGGTGGCTCATGCCTGTAATCCCAGCACTTTGGCAGCCGAGGCAGGTGGATCGGCTGAGGTCAGTTCAAGACCACCCTGACCTTTAGTAGAGACATGGAGAAACCCTGTGTCTACTAAAAATAAAAAATTAGCTGGCATGGTGGTGCATGCCTGTAATCCCAGCTACTTGGGAGGCTGAGGCAGGAGAATCGCTTAAACCTGGGAGGCGGAGGTTGCGGTGAGCCGAGATCACGCCATTGCACTCCAGCCTGGGCAACAAGAGCGAAACTTCGTCTCAAAAATAAAACAGTAAAAAATAACAAACATCAAATCCTTCTCAAACTTTTACAATAAGTTGAAGAGTAGCATAACTTCCTAACTCATTTTCTGAGGCCAGTATTACTGTTAGGGAACAGCATAAGACTGTTAGAAGGAAACATAGGGCAAATGTTTCACAACACTGGATTTAGCGATGATTTATTGGATATGACACCAAAAGCACAGGCAACAAAAGAAAAAATTAGACAAATTGGACTTCATGAGAATTTAAAACTTTTGTGCATCAAAAGACACTGTCAACAGAGTAAAAAGGCAACACACAGAATGGGAGAAAATATTTGCAAATCATATATCTGATGCGGGATTAACATCCCGAATAAGCCAGGCATGGTGGCTGATGCTTGTAATCCCAGTACTTTGGGAAGTCCAGGCGGGAGGATCTCTTGAAGGGATTGCAGACCAGACTGGGCACTGTAGGAAGATCCCATCTCTACAAAAAATTAGCCAGGTGCAGTGGCAGGTACCTGTAGTCTCAGCTACTTGGGAGACTGAGGAGGGAGAATCACTTGGGCCCAGGAGTTCAAGGCTGCAGTGAGCTATGATGACACACTCCAGCCTGGGCAATAGAGTGAGACCCTATCTCTAAGAAAAAAAAAAATCCAGAATATACAGAGAACTCCTAAAACCCAACAACAAAAAACCAAACAACCCAATTCAAAAATGGGGTTAACATCCAAAATATATAAGGAACTCAACTCAATATCAAAAAAACAGATAACCTGATTAAACAATGGGCAAAGAACCTAAAGAGACATTTATTAAAGACATACAAATGGCCAATGGGTATGTGAAAAAATGCTCAGCATCCCTAATCATCAAGGAAATGTAAATTTAAAAATGAGCTATCACCTCACAACTGTTAGAATGGCTACTATCAAAATGACACAAGATAACAAGTGGTGGTGACAATGTGAAGAAAAGGGAACTCTGGTACACTGTGGATGGGAATGTAAATTAGTATAGCCATTATAGAAAACAGTATGGAGGGTCCTCAAAAATTAAAAATAGAGCTAGCATATAATCCAGCAATCCCACTAGTGTGTATATATCCAAGGGAAATAAAAATCAGTATATTTAAGAGATATCTGCATTTACATGGTCATTGCAGCATTAATTTCAATGGTCAACATATGGAATCAACCCATGTATCCATCAGTGAATGAATAGATAAAGAAAATGTGGTATATACATAATGGAATACTATTCAGCCTTAAAAAAGAAGGAAATCCTGTCATTTACAACAACATGGATGAGCCTGAAGGACACTATGTTAAATGAAATAAGCCAGGCACAGAAAGACAAATAGTGCATGATCTCACTCACATGTGGAATCTTAAAAAGCTGAACTCATGGAAGCAGAAGAGTAGAATGGTGGTTATCAGGGGATTAGGGAGGTATACAGATTGGAAAGATACTGGTCAAAGGATACAAAATTTCAGTTGGGGGAATAAATTCAAGAGATCTTTGTATAATATCATAATTATAGTTAATGTATCTTAACACTTGAAAATTGTTAAGAGGATAGATGTTAAGTGTTCTCACCACAAAACAATAAGTATGTGAGGTAATGCATATGTTTATTAGTTTGATTTAGCCATTCCATGATGTATACATATTTCAAAACATCATGTTGTATACCATAAATATAAACAATTTGTATTTGTCAATTTAGAAAATAATTTTAAAATCCCATATATCCACACAAAAACTTGTATAAGAATGTTCATAGTAGCATTACTCATAATAGCCAAAAAGTGAAAACAACCTAAATGTCCATCAACCAATGAATGGATAAACAAAACATGATGTAGCTATACAATGGAGTATTAGTCAGCAATTAAAAAGGAATGATGTACTGATACATATACTACAACATGGATGGACTTTAAAAATGTTACGCTAAGTGAAAGAAGCCAATGACAAGGAATAACATATTAAAATATTCCATTTATATGAAATGTGCATGACAGGCAAATCTATAGAGACTGATTTTGTCTCAAATCAGTTGAAATTGGGGGTTTAGGGGAGAAATGGAAAGTGGGTGCTAATGTGTTTGGGGTTTCTTTTAGGGGTGATAAAATTGTTCTAAAATTGATTGTGGTGATGGTTGCACAAACTATAAATACACTAAAATACCACTGAAGTGTACACTTTAAATGGGTGAATTATATGGTATGTGAATTATATCTCAATCAAGGTATTTTTAAAAAGGAACAAAATTTTTTCTACTATGGAATGATCACCAGCATATATTGTTAAGAAGAAAAAATGCAAGGAGAAGAAGAGTGTGTTTAATATGTTCTTCTTTCCCTAAGAAGTGAGATATGAGTATATACGTCTATATAATATTTCTAATGGAATAATAAAGTGTGAAATTTAAAAAATACCTATGTGGGAAGGAAAGAATAGGGTGGAAGCACAGGAATAGATGCTGGAAACTTATTTGAATATATACCCCAAAAACAAAATGAACTAAAGACCAATTTTCAGTAGTAATCATATTCTTGATGGTATTACTGGTACTTTTATTCTGAGACTGTTGTGTGTAAAATGTGGATTAATATTATAAAAATGATAAATTTATGTTGGTTCCACTGGACAAAAGCAAATTATGAATTAAATTATGTTGATGTTACTAAGAACCAAGATTTTCAACGTGGGATAAGGAAAAAGATGTGAGATTGACGAGACTAAGTAAAACCAAGTAGTCCTGAATCTGAACTGGAAGGATTAGTATGCACTGATGGTGTACTTTATGAAAAAGAAAGAGAAAGAAATACCTCCTAGCCTGGTCCACTGAAAAGACCTAAAAACAATGGCTGCCTAAAAACATGGCCGGGTGCGGTGGCTCACACCTGTAATTCCAGCACTTTGGGAGGAGTTCAAGACCAGCCTGACCAACATGGTGAAACCCTGTCTCTACTAAAAATACAAAATGAGCCGGACGTGGTGGAATGTGCCTGTAATCCCAGCTACTTGGGAAGCTGAGGCAGGAGAATCGCTTGAACCCAGGAGGCGGAGGTTGTAGTGAGCCAAGATCATGCCATTGCACTCCCGGCTGGGTGACAAAGCGAGACTCTGTCTCAAAAAAAAAAAGAAAAGAAAAGAAAACAAACAAACAAAAAATCAACGAGAACTCCTAACACCCAGACTGTGGTTTTGATACAGAAGTGGGGCAGGGAAGTGCTGGGTAGAGGAGGGCATGGTCCCTGGTGAGGGCTCCACCCCCAGGTCTGTCCCCATGGACCTAGGTGAGGACAGGCACTCCTGCCTTCATGCCCAAATGTTGCATTTCCCGAGACCACCCTGGTCTGCCATGCCCCCATCCTGTGCCTATAAAAACCCCCGGGACCCTAGCAGGCAGACACACAAGTGGCCGGACATCAAGAGGAGATCGGCTGAAGAAGACACAAGTGGCTTGATACCTAGAGACACCGACAGGCACTGGCAGGCCACTGACTGACCTAGGCCATTGACTGGCAGAACGACGCAGAGTTAGGATGGGGCAGTGGGAGAAGAGTCAGGGTGGTCAAAGAAGAGTCAGGCCACTCGGCGGCCTGACTCCAAGGGAAAACCATCTCCCTTCGGGCTCCCCTATCTGCTGAAAGCTACTTCCATAAAACCTTACACCCATTCTCCAAGAGCACATGTGATCCGTTCTTCCGGTACACCAAGACAAGAACCCCAGGGATACAGAAAGCCCTCTGTCCTTGTGATAAGGTAGGGGTCTAATTGAGCTGACTAACACAAGCCGCCTATGGATGGCTAAACTAAAAGAGCACACTGTAACACATGCCCACTGGGGCTTCCGCTGTAAACATTCACCCTTAGACACTGCTGTGGGGACAGAGCCCCACAACCTGCCTGTCTATACCTCCTCTAGAGGTTTGAGCAGTGGGGCACTAAAGAAGCGAGCCACTCCCCCTGTCACATGCCCTGCGATGGGGACAAGGGAACTTTCCCTGTTTCAGTTTCTAAATACCATTTCCTGCTAAAACAAACCAGGTTCATAGAAGAAAGCCTAATTCCAGGTCTAGAGTAGGAAATGTAAACGATGAGCCTAGAAATGACTTAAATAATGCAGAAAGCAAGGAAATTATCAAAGACCACTAGAATCTGAAAAGAAGTCAAAAGTTAACTTGAAAAGCCTCCCATTAGCCAAAACTGGGACAATTTGAGCATCATTAAGGATACTGTTTAAAACTTATAATGTCTAGGATTCATAATGAGATTAAATAAACAAAAAACAACAAAAAATAGCCCTAATTGATCACTTCACTGTTGGAGGATGCAAATGAGTTAGAGGAAACAAATTCATTATGAAAACTGATAAATAATGATAAAAACAAAGCATGTACCCTGCCTATCCTATATGAACTATAACTCAGGATAACCAAATAGTTGATGAGAGGTTTTCTCTTTATAAAAGTAGTCCAGGGCCAGGCACGGTGGCTCACACCTGTAATCCCAGCACTTTGGGAGGCCAAGGCGGGTGGATCATGAGGTCAGGAGTTCAAGACCAGCCTGGCCAAGATGGTGAAACCCTGTCTCTACTAAATATACAAAAATTAGCCAGGCATGGTGGTGGGCACCTGTAATCCCAGCTACTCAGGAGGATGAAGCAGGGAATTGCTTGAACCTGGGAGGCGGAGGTTGCAGTGAGCCGAGATCGCACCACTGCACTCTAGCCTGGGTGACAGTGAGACTCCATCTCAAAAGAAAAAAAAAAAGTAGTCCAGCTAATAAATGAAGAAGGAATCAAAATATGAATATTTTATAATTTATAATAAAATTAATGGATAAGCAATGAGCAATAATAGTAAGTGGCTGCTCAGACAACCGAGCATTATCACTTCCAAATAAAAGTATGTAATACCACCTAGAAAGTTTTCTTGCCAAAAAAAAATCAAACCAGATCTGTTCAAGCTCCTAGTTCTAATTTATAGGAAATACGGGAAACAAATGAACATGGTAAAACAACACCATAGGGTTGCAATCAGTAAAACACAAACTGTTAGAAATATCATGGGAAAAATGAACCAGTTTTGTCAACACATATATTGCCAAAAAGCACTAAATAGATAAATCGATGGGAAGAGAACATATGGATTAAAAGAGACAAACTTTCTGGGACAGATAGGTGACAGCAAAAAATAAATAAATAAATAAATAACTTATCAGCCAAATGCAATATATGAATCCTATATGGATCTTAATTGAAAAAAAGAGAGACAAGGGAATGTCATTGATTTCCTGGCTGACTGAATATTTTCTGATATTAAGGAATTATTAAAATTTTCAGATGTGGTATGTTGTGGTTAAGTTAAAAAGCCTTTATCTTTTAGATATATATTCTGAAACATTTATAGATGAAATGTTATGATGAAGTCTAAGATATGCTTCAAAATAATATAGTTGGGGTTGGCAGTATAGAGGAAACAAGAATGGCCATGAGCCCTGTAGCTCAGGGACACATGAGGGTTTATTGAACAATTTGCCTCTACCTTTGTAATTGATTGAAATTTTCCGTTATAAAGGTTTTAAAAAATTCTAATGTCCTTAAATAATGCTTTGTTATGTAGCTTAGTATTTTCTGAGGTTGTAGAGTGCTCTTCACACTAAAATCCTCCTGCCTTGGTTCTTTTCAGATAAGCCATGGCCTTCATTTGAATCTTTTATAGAAATATACAACAAGATAAGTACCCTCAAAAACTAAGTGACAATTTAGTTGTGGATAAAATAATAAATGCTTTAGCACTAAAATTTAATTTATTCTACACTTGCAAACTAACTTTAAACTTGAAAAAGCATACTGTTATTAACTCATTAAAAATTATAAATATTTTTATTTATACCACCTAAGGTAAGTTTTCATTTTAAAAATAAATTCCACAGTCACAGATACAAACACAAATAGCTCTATTACCACAGTTCGTACATGCTAAGGAAACTAAGCATTATTAGGGGTATCGTAATTTCAAACTTGAATAAGCATCTTTTGTGGCTTTTCCACTAATTCTTTGATATACTATGGAGATTAGCAGTGACAGAACAACATTTATTCTCTACTTCCTTCTCACTTTAAGACTATAGATAACACAGCCAGTGGTTCATGAATATGCTTACAGATCTAAATATGTGAGCCAAAAGAATGTTCTTACCTGTTGCCTATACAGTGAGAGTTTGCCTTCAATGGGCTCATTTCTCATCATTTTCTTTTCAATCAACTGGTTAATTTCTGTGTTTATTTCATTTATCTAAAATAGCATGAAAGCAAAAAAAAAAAGTTAAAACTTTCCCTATAAGTACACAAACTAAGTGACGTCTGGCCAAACCAGCTTTGAATTTATGGTTCTTTTTTTTTAAAGACAAGGTCTCAGTTTCACCTAGACTAATTTTTTTTTTAAGAGATGGGGTCTTGCTATGTTGCCCAGACTGATTTTGAATTCCTGGGCTCAAGTGATCCTCCCACCTTGGCCTCCCAAAGTGCTGGGATTACAGACGTGAGCCATGGCACCCATCTGGAATTTACAGTTCTTAACATTAAGTCTCTGATGGGCAAAACAGTTTCATTAATGTTATGGGGAGCTTGTTATGATTACCTTTAGAAACAATTTACATTTCATGACATATAATTACACAGTTTGATTACTTATATAGATTTAATCATCTATGTCTAAATTATCCTAAAGTATTTTACATGAAATATTTATACATTACCACAAAGATGCTTTCTAAAAATCTGAAGTTATCCCCTCACCTACGTTGTGACTTCAAGTCACTGAAAGTGATAAAGCAAATGTGAACAAATATGCACCAGGGATTTATTACAATGATTCATGAACCCAGCTGACAGTTGACAGGGATAACACCCTTCCTGTGCTAATAATCTGTGATTCTTCGATAACTATCATTTATCCTAATCATTAATCTAAATCTTTCCAAAATGTAATAAAACTGAATAAATCTGACAGAAGCATATAGTTCCTCAACATATCAAAACAAAAACCATGGTTTTCAGTGTATCCATCCTTTGAAAGATTAGAGTTCTCTCTAACCCTAACCCTAATTCTGTGACATTAAATTTTAGCCAGATTAGGCCGGGCACGGTGGCTCACATCTGTAATTGAAGCACTTTGGGAGGCTGAGGCGGGTGCATCATCTGAGGTCAGGAGGTCGAGACCAGCCTGGCCAACATGGTGAAACCCCGTCTCTACTAAAAATACAAAAAATTAGCTGGGCTTGGTGGCATGCACCTGTAGTCCTGGCTACTCCAGGGGCTGAGACAGGAGAATCACTTGAACCCAGGAGGTGGAGGTTGCAGTGAGCCGAGATCGCACCACTGGACTCCAGCCTGGGTGACAGAGTGAGACTCCATCTCAAAAACAAAACAAAACAAAACAAAACAAAATTTTAGCCAGATCTGACTTGGACATTTAATTTTTCTAAGTAAATTAAAAGAATAAAACAGTCAGGCCTGGGCGCGGTGGCTCACACCTGTAATCCCAGCACTTTGGGAGGCTGAGGTGGGTGGATCACAAGGTCAGGAGTTAGAGACTAGCCTGGCCAACACAGTGAAACCCCATCTCTACTAAAAATACAAAAATTAGCTGGGCATGGTGGCAGGTGCCTGTAATTCCAGCTACTGGGGAGGCTGAGGCAGAATTCACTTGAATCCAGGAGGCAGAGGTTGCAGTGAGCCGGGATCACGCCACTGTACTCCAGCCTGGGCAACAGAGCTACACTCCATCTCAAAAAAAAAAAAACAAAAAAAACCAAAACAGTCAGAATTATGTATTTAATTGTAGTGGCTATTAACCACATAGTAAGCACACTAAAGAATTAGCAAGTCAAAACATTTCAATTAGGCTGAGTGCAATGGCTCACACCTGTAATCCCTGCACTTTGGGAGACTGAGGTGGACGGAGGCAGGCAGATCTCTTGAATCTGGGAGGTCAAGACCATGCTGGGCAACATGGCCAGACCCTGTCTGTACAAAAAATTCAAAAATTGGCCAGAACTGGTGGCATGCACCTTGTAGTCCCAGCTACTTGGGAAGCTCAGGTGGAGGATCACTTGAGCCTGGGAGATGGAGGCTGCAGTGAGCTGTGATCATGTCACTGAACTCCAGCCTAGGTGACAGTGTGAGACTCCGTGTAAAAAAAAAAAAAAAAAAAAAAATTAGGCATAGTGGTGTGCGCCTGTAATCCCAGCTAGTCGAGAGGCTGAGGTAGAAGAATCGCTTGAACCCAGAAGGTGGAGGTTGCAGTGAGCTGAGATTGTGCCACTGCACTCCAGCCTGGGCAACAGAGCAAGTTCCGTCAAAAAAAAAAAAAAAAAAAAAAAGGCACTGCACCTGACCTAGCATTTTAATTCTAGGGAACAAAAATGGTATAATCAGGCCAAGCACAGTGGCTCACACCTGTAATCCCAGCACTTTGGGAGGCTGAGGCGGGCAGATCACCTGAGGTCAGGAGTTCAAGACCAGCCTGGACAAATGGCAAAACCCCGTCTCTACTAAAAATAAAAAAATTGGCCAGGCATGGTGGCACATATCTGTAGTCCCAGCTACTTGGGAGGCTGAGGCAGGAGAATGGCTTGAACCCGGGAGGCAGAGGTTGCAGGGAGCTGAGATCTCACCACTGCACTCCAGTCTAGGCAACAGAGCAAGACTCCGTCTCAAAAAACAAAACAAGTCCTGGTGCGGTGGCTCATGCCTGTAATCCCAGCACTTTGGGAGGCTGAGATGGGTGGATCACAAGGTCAGGAGTTTGAGACCAGCATGACCAACACGGTGAAACCCTGTCTCTACTACAAATACAAAAATTAGCCAGGCGTGGTGGCGCGTGCCTGTAATCCCAGCTACTCAGGAGGCTGAGGCAGGAGAATCGCTTGAACTCGGGAAGCGGAGGTTGTAGTGAGCCGAGATCACGCTACTGCACTCCAGCCTGGGCAACAGAACGAGACTCTGTCTCAAAAAAAAACAAAAAACAAAACAACAACAACAAAAACAACAACAACAACAAAAAATTAGCCGGGCATGGTGGTTCGTGCCTGTAATCCCAGCTAGTTGGGAGGCTGAGGCTGGATAATCACTTGAACCCAGGAGGCAGAGGTTGCAGTGAGCTGAGAAGATTGTGCCACTGTACTCTAGCCTGGGCAACAGAGCAAGTACTGTCTCAAAAAAAAAAAAAAAAAAAAAGGTATAACCTGATACCAGCTTTCAATAAGCATTACAATATTTAGTAATTCCAAGGCAGGTATACAAGGTTAATAAAAATATTAGCTTTAAATATAAAATTGCTATAATATTTTGCTTGGAAATAAAAATTAATGACAATTAAAATATTTCCAAATTTCCCATCTAAATGCTTACATTATGAAGACATAAACCCACTGGTCAATTCATATGCATTAATTTACATATTTAAGTTACTTCATTTGCTAATCAATTGATTATGTTTTCATAACATCATGTGGATTAAGTAATAGCATAACATTCTATAATTCCTCATAAAGGACAATTCCTCATAAGAGTTGTCAACTCTTAGCACAGGTTAATTTAAGAGTCAATAGTGGGATACTACAGAAAGCAGTTCACATAATTTTATAGGACTGGGGATCAGATAAAATTGAGAGCTATAAAAAGATGATTCTCACTTACTTTAGATTCAAGTTCAAGAAGATCAGAATGGCCCATAGCTGGCTCTGAAACTACTTTTTGTAAAAAATGTAATTCCTTTTTCTTATTTTCTAATTCTTTAGGAAATTTTTCAGTTACCATATATAAATTAAATTTTATCTCCTCCTCTAGCCTCTTCATTAAACCTTTAAAAATAAAATAAATAAATATTCAGCCCAAAAGAGTAGGTACAGTGATATTCTGTATACTATTTTAAATATAAGACCTGGATACGGCATATTTGTTGAAAACAAACTGTATAATATATAGCATAGTACAATAAAAGATTGGCCATTGAAATATTTTATTGTTAATTACAATGAAAATGAAGAAACATAATTTACATGGAAGAATATTTAAATAATTATAGAAAAAGTGCTATTATGACCCTTTCAAATTATAACCTAATTCTTTTATATCCCGCAATACGCAAAAATAACATGTGCTGAGCCAGATACATTGTTGGGTCATATTTTACCTTCTAAGCATTTAAGAGACCCATGAACCAAATGATAACACAAATAAAATCTAACCCAGGTGCTCTTTTATACAGATGATCATGTATTTTTTTTCTTTTGGAATACTTTTAATGCTATATATATACATATGTATTTTTTATTTTTTTGAGATAGGGTCTTGCTCTGTCACCCAGGCTAGAGTGTAGTGGCACTATCTCAGCTCACTGCAACCTAAACCTTCACAGCTCAAGTGATCCTCCCACCTTAGCCTCCTGAGTAGCTGGAAGTAGCTGGCATCACAGGTGTACATCACCACGCCTAGGTAATTTTTGTATTTTTTTTTGTAGAGACGAGGTTTTGCCATGTTGCCCAGGCTGGTCTCTAACTCCTGGGCTTGAGCAGTCACCTGCCTCAGCCTCTCAAAGTGCTGGGATTACAGGTGTGATCCCAGCCTCTCAAAGTTCTGGGATTACACTGTACCCAGAACAATTTATATTTCTATTATAACAGTTCATAAATGATAATTCATTATCATTTGTCAGCTTCAAGCCAATGAAGACATTACTAAAAGCACCACAAGTTAAAATCTAAAAAAGAGTAACAGGCCAGGTGCAGTGGCTCACGCCTGTAATTCCAGCACTTTGGGAGGCCGAGGTGGGTGGATCACCTAGGTCTAGAGTTCGAGAGCAGCCTGGGCAACATGGCAAAACCCTGTCTCTACTAACAATACAAAAATTAGCCGGGCATGGTGGCACATGCCTGTAGTCTCAGCTACTTGGGAGGCTGAGGAACAAGGATCGCTTGAACCTGGGAGGAAGAGGATGCACTGAGCCAAGATCGTGTCACCATCACTGCACTCCAGCCTGGGGGATAGAGGGAGACTCTGTCTCAAAAAAACAAAAGAAAAAAGAAACAAAGTATCTACCTACACATAAATGTTTTAAGTTTTCCATGTTTTGGTATTTTTTATTTTGTAAAGTATTATTAGTTTACAGTTAAGTGGCAATTTATATTTTTAAGATTTTAGTTTTCTTATTTTTGCAGTTGGACAACTATACACACAGATTTTCAGTGAATAACCATCTTGTTTTAAATTCCCAGCCTAGAGAGATTTACAAAGTTTATTTCATATCTTTCCATTTACACATTTACAAATTCTGACTTGAATGTTTTTTGTTTTTTGTTTTAGATGAAATCTTGCTCTGTCACTCAGGCTGGAGTGCAGTGGTGCATTCTGGGTTCACTGCATCCTCTGTCTGCCTCCTGGGTTCAAGCGATTCTCCTGCCTCAGCCTCCTGAGTAGCTGGAATTAGTCGCACACTACCAGCTCGGCTAATTTTTTGTATTTTTAGTAGAGACAGGGTTTCACCATGTTAAGGCCAGGCTGGTCTGCAACTCCTGACCTCAAGTGATCCGCCTGCCTGGGCCTCCCAAAGTGCTGGGATTACATGCGTGAGCCACTTCGTCTGGCCTGGCTCAAATTTTTAACACATGGGCTTTCTGGTTTAAGTAATCTGTGTAATAGATTGCATAATACATCTGGCCCAAAGCATAATACATCTGGCCCAAAGCCTTAAAACTATTTTTAGTTCCATCGTGCTAACCATATATTAACATGTAAAATTTTATTAACTGCAAATTCTAAGTTTTCCATTCATTACTTCACTATTCCTTCTTTTTTCAGGATTAGAGAAAGGAAGAGAAGAGAAAGTGTTTAATAAATCACACTGTAGGCTGGGCGTGGTGTCTCACACCTGTAATCCCAGCACTTTGAGAGGCCAAGGCAGGCGAATCACCTGAGGTTGGGAGTTTGAGACCAGCCTGACCAACATGGAGAAACCCCATCTCTACTAAATATACAAAAAATTAGCCGGGCATGGTGACCCATGCCTGTAATCCCAGCTACTCTGGAGGCTGTAGAGATGCTTGAGGTAGGAGATTCGTTTGAACCCGGGAGGCAGAGGTTGCGGTGAGCCAAGATCATGCCATTGCACTCTAGCCTGGGCAACAAGAGCAAAACTCCGTCTCAGAAAATAAAAAATAGGCCAGGCGTGGTGGCTCATGCCTGTAATCCCAGCACTTTGGGAGGCTGAGGCGGGCGGATCACCTGAGGTCAGGAGTTTGAGACCAGCTTGACCAACATGGAGAAACCCCGTCTCTACTAAAAAAATATACAAAATTAGCCGGGCGTGGTGGCATATGCCTGTAATCCCAGCTACTTGGGAGGCTGAGGCAGGAGAATGGCTTGAACCTGGGAGGCGGAGGTTGCAGTGAGCCAAGATCACGCCATTGCACTCCAGCCTGGGCAACAGGAGTGAAACTCCATCTCAAAAAATAAATAAATAAGTAAATAAACAATAAAAATAAATAAATCACACTGTAATTAGTCAGTCATTCCTATGTGGTTTTCGATTAAATCTACATCCTGACTTCTTTGTCTGTTAGATGACCAGCTTTTCCATCCTCAGGTTCTTAAGTGTACCCCATGTAATTAGAGATGCATGGAATCAAAGACTAAAATGTTTTTAAAGATTTAAAATTCTCAAATAATATTTTCTCTATTTAAAAAAAAGTTTCTAATTCTAGCAAATATAAACTGATTTATAGTGACAGAAAGCAAATCCATGGTTGCCTGGGGAGGGACAGAAAGGCAGAAGGGGGCAAGAGTGAGACATTAAAAAGGGTCAGTGGAAATGTCTGGGGTGATGGATAGGTTTGTGATCTTGATTAAAAGCTGATGGTTTCACCAGTGTATGCGTATGTCAAAAGTAATCAAGGATACACTTTAGGGCATGGGAGGAAAGGGGAAGAGCATTCAGACAAATACTTAATGTGTGCGGAGCTTAAAACCTAGATGACAGGTTGATAGGTGCAGCAAACCACCATGGCACATGTATACTTATGTAGCAAACCTGCATATTCAGCACATGTAACCCAAAACTTAAAGTAAAATTAAAAAAAAAAATTTAATACATTTTAAATATGTGCTACTTATTTATTTATTGAGACAAAGTCTTACTCTGTCACCTAGGCTGGAGTGCAGTGGCACAATCATAGCTCACTTTAACCTCAAACTCTTGGGCTCAAGTGATCTTCCTGCCTCAGGCTCCTGGACAGCTAGGACTATCGGCATGTACCACCATGCCCAGCTAATTTTTTATTTTTTATTTTATTTTATTTTATTTTATTTTATTTTATTTTATATTTTATTTTATTTTATTTATTTTATTTTATTTTATTTTATTTTATTTATTTTATTTTATTTTATTGTATGTATGTATGTATGTGTTTATTTTGAGATGGAGTCTCACTCTGTCGCCCAGGCTGGAGTGCAGTGGCGTGATCTCAGCTCACTGCAAGCTCTGCCTCCCGGGTTCATGCCATTCTCCTGCCTCAGCCTCCTAAGTAGCTGGGACTACAGGCACCCGCCACCATGCCCGGCTAATTTTTTATATTTTTTTAGTAGAGACAGGGTTTCACCATGTTAGCCAGGATGGTCTCGCTCTCCTGACCTTGTGATCCACCCGCCTTGGCCTCCCAAATAATTTTTTATTTTTTGTAGAGATAGATTCTTGCTATGTTGCCCAGGCTGGTCTCAAACTCCTGGGCTCAAGTGATCCTCTTACCTTGGCCTCCCAAAGGAGTATGATTATAGGTGTGAGTCGCTGAACCATACCAAATACATGCAGCTTTTTCTTTTCTTTTTTCCTTTTCTTTTTTTTTTTTTTTTTTTGAGACAGAGTCTCCCTCTGTTGCCCAGGCTGGAGTGCAGTGGCACAATCTCAGTTCACTGCAACTTCCACCTCCTGAGCTCAAGTGATCCTCCCACCTCAGCCTCCCAAAGTAGCTGGACTACAAGCGTGCACCACCACACCTGGCTAATTTTTGTATTTTTTTGTAGAGACAGGGTTTTGCCATGTTGTCCAGGCTGGTCTTGAACTCCTGGGATCAAGTGATCTGCTCGCCTTTGCCTCCTAAAATGTTGGGATTACAGGTGTGAACCACTGCACCAGGGTTTGTGTGGTTTATTATATGTCGATTTTACCTCAATAAAGCTGTTTAAAACATAAAAACCAAGTTTCCATCAAATTTTAAATTACTCTCTTAAAAAATTTAACTTAGACCTTGAAAAATAGTCATATGTTTCTATGAAAAGTTTTAAAAGCATTATCTTTCAAAATCCTGGGTAAATTAAATACAAGGTCACTAAGATGTCAGCAAACTTTTATATTAAAAACCCTTTGAAAACATCTCACTGATCCTACTATAATCAAATGAGTGTCTTCTTTTATGTAATAAATCTCACAAATGTGTGGAGTATAACAATGATTAGCCTCAGCCGGGCCCAGTGGCTTACGCCTATAATCCTAACACTTTGGGAGGCTGAGGCGGGTGGATCACCTGAGGTCGGGAGTTCAAGACCAGCCTGACCAACATGGAGAAACCCCGTCTCTACTAAAAACACAAAAATTAGCTGGGTGTGGTGGCACACACCTGTAATCCCAGCTACTCCAGAGGCTGAGGCAGGAGAATCGCTTGAACCCGGGAGGCGGAGGCTGCGGTGAGCTAAGATTGCACCACTGCACTCCAGCCTGGGCAACAAGAGTGGAACTCCATCTCAAAAAAAAAAAAAAAATGATTAACCTCAGTGAATGTTTTATAATATAGCTGTTACTCTGCAAAAAGACAAATTATACTGTCATACTAAAAGTACTTTTTGTTATTTAAGTAAACATTAGCTTTTGTAAGCCTTTTTTGTTACTGAAAAGTTAGAGCTTATTAAACTAAATACCTGGATCAATTAAATATGTTTAATCTACCCTTTTCCTAGGCTGTGAACAGATCACTTTCCACTTCCCAGAAAGATGTCAACGAAGTAGGAACTCCTTAACCTCCTGCTCCCTGCTCTTGTAGAATTTCATAGATTACTACAGAAAGATGAATTAACCCTCTATCAGCTATTTACATTGGGATAGTTCTCCAGTACAAATGAGAGCTTTCCACTGCTCTTTCAGTTTGCGTGGTCTTTCTTCTGACAAGCAAAAATGCTTTGTAAAATGCCTAGGATGGATCTGGTGGTGTAATCTGGGCTGTTAGGACAGTTTATCCTCTGTGTTAAGCTAATGTAAGAACAGAGCCAGAGATACCTACGTCATTAGCACTGTTATTCTACAAACCAAAATATGAAAAACACTCGGTTTTAAGGATCCAGCATTCTATTCTTTTTCTTTATAGCCCTGGCTTTAAAACAATGATTCATAATTTTTCCAACCATCATTTTCACAACGTCCATGCTAAGTCCTTTATTTATTTATTTATTTATTTATTTTTCTTGAGACAGAGTCTCAGTCTGTCGCCCAGGCTGCAGTACAATGGCGCGATCTCGGCTCACTGCAACCTCTGCCTTCTAGGTTCAAGCAATTCTCCTGCCGCAGCATCCTGAGTAGCTGAGATTATAGGCACATGACATCATGCCCAGCTAATTTTTTTGTACTTTTAGTAGAAACAGGGTTTCACCATGTTGGCCAGGTTGGTCTCGAACTCCTGACCTCAAGTGATCCACCCGCCTCAGCCTCCTAAAGTGCTGGGATTATAAGTGTGAGCTACCACGCCCAGCCATGCTAAGTCCTTTATACAAGCACAAACCAGACAGCCTCCCTCCACAGTTGTTTTCATTATCTTCACTCTCTGATGTGAAAAACTGGTTAGGAATTGTTTGTTGTTGCTGTTAAGATGGAGTCTCGCTCTGTCGCCCAGGCTGGGCTGCAGTGGCGCGGTCTCGGCTCACTGCAACCTCTGCCTCCCAGATTCAAGTGATTCTCCTGCCTCAGCCCCCTGAGTAGCTGGGATTACAGGCACCCACCACCACGCTCTGCTAATTTTTGTATGTTTAGTAGAGATGGGGTTTCGCCATGTTGGCTAGGCTGGTCTCGAACTCCTGACCTCTCGCCACCTCGGGCTCCCAAAGTGCTGGGATTATAGGCATGAGCCACTGCACCCGGCCATCTGGTTAGGAATTTTTAAAAACATCTGGTGAAAACCCAGGGATGTCTTTATCAGGGCTCTCCTTCTCCAGCTAGGAAATGATGTTCCAAAATGCTGAGACATCACTTGATGATAACTAATTCTCACAAATTGATTTTTTAGGAAGATCGTGATTTAAATTAATATTTTCTAATCATCTATACCATATAATAATTTCCACTTACTTTCAGGCTTTGCATCTGCTGCAGCTTGGCGCATGCTTTTCAGCTGGTTTTGTACTCTTTGCAATCTTTGCACTGCATGAAATAGCTTTAAAATACAATTAAATAGATTACTTGCTTAGTCTACTGAAGCTTACCTCTCACTTAGGCAAGCAATGAAAAATACAAGTTCCATATAATTCTTATGATATAAAAGGAACAAATAATAAGAACTCGGAAAATTCCCATATTAAACCCAAAATGTAACTGGTTCTCTCAATACCTTTTCACATACATTTTTTAAGGAAGTTTTCACAAATTTTTCTTTAGTTATTTACTGAATTTGCGGTTTAAGGAAAAATACTTATCAAAGAAACACACACACCAGATTTTTCTTGTTATACATGGTTTTCTTAAGGCCAAGTAATGTTAACATTGATATAGTGATGTTTCAGAATCACAAACCAACGCCAAGTAACCATTCAGGGCTTAGGCGATGCAGCTTACTGCTGCAGTGAAACTACTTCGATGCCAAGTCAAGTGCCAGCAAAATCAAACATTTAAACTGCTGATTTAGTAGTAAATGAAGCTTATGTGAAATATATTTTAATGTATAAGTCTACTCAGATTTTAAAATAGATTTTTAATAAGTAAAAGTAATAATTTCTTAGCAAATTATTTTTCTTTAAGGCAAAGTTTAAAAACATGGAGTGTAGGTGATTTTGAGCCTTTTCATGACTTATTTGCCATTGTAGTAAACTGCAGAGGGTACTGTGATCACTGGAATAAAAAGAATGGTCTCATAGCCCTGGAATCTAAAAGCATCCTGTAGAGATTCTAGAAGTTTTATTAGCAGTTAATCTTACTGTTAACATTACAATGACTCTTCTGTAATGTTGGAACAACACGAGGTAAGCATAGGCCAAAAGACAGTGTATAGATACAATTCAGAGTATAAAACCCAAAAAGTGGTATTGTTGTTGCCACAAAATATTTATCTTTTTTTTTTTTTTTTTTTCAGACAAAGTCTCACTCTGTTGCCTAAGCTGGAGTGTGGTGGCGTGATCTCAGCTCACCTCAACCTCCACTTCCTGGGTTCAAGTGATTCTCCTGCCTCAGCCTCTGGAGTAGCTGGGACTACAGGCATGTGCCACCATGCCCAGCTAATTTTTATATTTTTAGTACAGACAGGGTTTCACTGTGCTGGCCAGGCTGGTCTTGAACTCCTGACCTCCTGATTCGCCCGCCTCAGCCTCCCAAAGTGCTGGGATTACAGGTGTTAGCCACTGCACCCGGCCTGAAATATTTATCTTAATTAAAAGAGTATTCCATTATGTTAGCAAAAGGAACGTGAACGTCTACAATTTTAAAACTCTTTTCTTTACATTTGGATTATGAGAAGGAACTATTTCCTTCATACTGAGAATATAAACTTTTATGTGGATACCTGATTCTTTTGTTCCTGTTTCTGTTGTGCAAGATATTCTTCTCTCTCTTTTTCAACTCGAAGTTGCCTTGCTATTTTAAGCATCCATTGATGATTCTGAGCTGTCTCAACCTACAGTAAGGGAATAAGTAGTACATGTTACTGTCAGGTTTGAAGAAAAAAATTAGCATGTCATGTGACTCAGACATCCACTTATCATTTCCTTTTGGTAAACAGTACTCCCTAGAGATGACAGTAAAGCTCTAGGCTCCAGGTCCTTGAAAGTGCTGGGCTACTGTCTAGAGAGATTCCCTTTTCGTCAATGTTATTTGAGTCCATCCTCAGATGTACACTCATGCTTGGCTGAATCTTTATTTGCATTCCTAAATCTTTGCAAGTCCTTGGGACTTGGGGCCAAAGTCTTACAGTACTAATTCTGCCTTACCCTTTTCTTCAAATGTTCAACTCTCTTAATGAGCTGATCCTTTTCTTCTTCCATTGCACTGATATCCTAAAAAGTGGCAAAGAAGACCTTATAAGAAAAAGTATTCTCAGTCTGTAGGAAACAGATAAGGTTTTATTTTGATTATGCATCTAACATTTTCATCATTTATAACCACAGCATTAACAACCAAGATCCTCTTTTGGATGAAGGTCATTTCTATTTTTCCCCCAGGGCTTCTTATGCAGGGTAATTTTTTTGGCAGCTTGGTGTTCATCCAGAAATGCAACAAAAACCAGTTATAATGCAGCAAGGTAAAGCTGCCAACCAGCACATTTGTGTTCTGATTCCAAATATGGGCACATGATTTTTGAAAAATTTTCTATAATGGAAAGTGTGCAGGTCTAAATACATGAACAACAGCTGCTGACATCCCATCTGTTCTGTTAAATACCAAGCCATATATTTTGCCAATTTTCCATCAAAATTATTTTTAAGGCTATGGTATTTTCATGACATAAGTTTGTACCTGGTTTTTCCAATGAACCAATTCCGTCTCTGAAAATAAAGACTTCAAAAATAAACTTCCTTCCTGTTAACCAGCTTCATAGTATTTTGTTATAAAAACAAACAAATAAAAAAACTCCTTCCTAAATCTAAAAAACTAATAGCTTAAATATCGCAGTAATAGTAAAGGTAAAATATACACGGTAGTCAGTATTGACAGAATTTGGAAAAATGGGCACTCTTACTCATTACCGATAGCACTGTACTGAAGAACAATATCAAAAGTCTTAAAATATAGCCTGGCCAACATGTTGAAATTTTGTCTCTACTAAAAATACAAAACTAGCCAGGCGTGGTGGCAAGTGCCTGTAATCCCAGCTACTTGGGAGGCTGAGGCAGGAGAATCGCTTGAACCCAGGAGGTGGAGGTTGCAGTGAGCCAAGATTGCGCCATTGCACTCCACCCTGGGTGACAGAGTGAGACTCCGTCTCAAAAAAAAAAATCTTAAAATAAATGTTCATCCCTTCTAGCCCAGTAATTTTATATCTGATGATTTGTCCGAATAAAACATTCATGAAAAGACATCCTCTGTAAAGATTCTCATTAATGCAAGTTACATCTACAATTTGGAAATGACCAAAATGTATGAGGATTGTTAAATAAATCACCACATAATACAATGAAAGTCATTAAAAATCATGCAGAAGAATGTTTAATGACATGAGAAAAAGTCATGAAATGACATTAATTGAAAGAGGCGGATTACAACATTTATCTACAGAATACCAAGAAAAAGATTTAAATATATTTATCAAAATGTCAACCATAGTTGTCTCTGGAGAACGAGATTATGAGTGAATTATTTTTTCTTTTCTTTTTTTTTGAGACAAGTTCTCACTCTGTCACCCAGCTAGAGTGCAGTGGTATGATCATAGCTCACTGCAGCCTTGAACTCCCAGGCTCAAGTGATCCTCCTGCCTCAGCTTCCTGAGTAGCTGGGACTACAGGCGTGCACCACCATGCCTGGCTAATTTGTTTTTTTTTTTTTTTCTGGAGACAGAATCTTGCCATCATGCCCAGGCTGGTCTCAAACTCTTGGGCTCAAATGATCCTCCAGCCTCGGCCACCCAAAGTGTTTGGATTACAGGCATGAGCTACCATGCCTGGCCTACTAAAGTATTCTTGAACATATGCTTTGTAGAAAATTTAGAAAATATGATTAAACAAGAAATAAAGGCTAGGTGCAGCAGTGGCTCATGCCTATAATCCCAGTACTTTGAGAGGCCAAGGTGGGAGGATAGCTTGAGCCCAGGAGGTCAAGACCAACCCGGGCAACATGGCAAAATCCCGTCTCTACAAAAAAATACAAAAATTAGCTGGGCATGGTGGCGCATGCCTGTAGTCCCAGCTACTCAGGAGGCTCAGGCATGTGGATCATTTGAACCTGGGATGTCGAGACTGTAGTGAGCTGTGATCACACCACTGTACTCCAGTCTGAATGACAGAGTGAGACCCTGTCTCAAAAAAAAAAAAAAAAAAGAGAGAGAAAGCTTTAGTAATAATGAATAAATTAAAATATAGACTCTAGGTTCTTGTCATTATTCTGGTTTACTTACAGGACATAATGGAGGAATAGTAGATGGACATATATCACTCTTCTTCCGTACTGTAAGTAACTACTCATCGTGAATTTACCCCAGTCTCATCAATTTCATCAGTAAGGAACTACCAAAGGTCCCCCCACAAAGTAAAATGTGCCATTTGCTATCACTAGTCTCCATATAGTCTTAAGACTCATACTGAATTAATAAAATGCTAAATCCAATATTATTCAAATCCCAAAAAAATTGTTACTATGTTTTCTTTCCTTTACCTTTCTTATTTCTGCTGTAGAAAATCCAGATATCTTGAGCTGCTCATATTCTTTATGCAAAGTTTTAAAGGCTTCCATTAACTCTTCATACTAGAAGAATAAGTTAAGAAATTATAAACTAATAACTAGATCCAGTAGAGTTTTCTTTCTTTCTTTCTTTCTTTTTTTTTTTTTTTTGAGACAGACTCTTGCTCTGTCGCCCAGCCTGGAGTGCAGTGGCACGATCTCGGCTCACTACAACTTCCGCCTCCCAGATTCAAGCGATTCTCCTGCGTCAGCCTCCTGAGTACCTGGGATTACATGCGCGCGCCACCACGCCCGGCTAATTTTTGTATTTTTAGTAGAGACGGGGTTTCACCATGTTCAGGCTGGTCTCGAACTCCTGACCTCATGATCCATCCGCTTTGGCCTCCCAAAGTGCTGGGATTACAGGCGTGAGCCACCGCGCCTAGCCATAGAGTTTTCTTAATCAGGTTATCTATTAACTTACAGCGATTACTTAAGTCATTGTAAGAACAGCATTAAAAACACAAAAACACATCCTTATACATTTATATAGGGTACAAAAAAGTACATCTCTACCATCTTAACACTAAATACTTCTCTATCTTCATTTCTGGTTACTTTCCTGCTTCACACTCTACACTAGCTATGTTGATGTCTGAGTTCCTGAACATTCCATGCTCTCACGTCCAGCTTATACATCTATGACTCCCTCACCCATAACTTAAGCAACTCCTTTTCATCCTTCAAGTCTTCACATAGATTCTACTATTCTCAGAGAAGCCTTCTCTGGCCCTTTATCTATCCTATCAGAGTAGATATCATGTACAATTATAACTGACTATTATAATTTTCTGTCTGTCTCCCTCCATCATATAGTGAGAGCCAAGAGGAAAAGAATCATATTCATTGTGTACACCCTTGTATCCCTAGGGCCTAGCACAGTGCATAACCCATGGAGGTGTTTAATATAAAGTAGTTGAATGGGCCAGGTGAGGTGGCTCACACCTGTAATCCTAGCACTTTGGGATGCTGAGGCAGATGGATCACTTGAGGTCAGGAGTTCGAGACCAGCCTGGCCAACATGGTGAAACCCTGTCTCTACTAAAAATACAAAAAATTAGCTGGGCACAGTGGCGCACACCTATAATCCCAGCTACTCAGGAGCTTGAGGCAGGAGAATTGCTTGAACCTGGGAAGTGGAGGTTGCAGTGAGCCGAGATCACACCACTGCACTCCAGCCTGGGTGACAAAGCGAGACTCTGTCTCAAACAAAAAAAAAGTAATTGAATGAATGAAAAAAATCCTGTTACCTAAAAATTTTTTAAAATAGTTTTTTTTTGTTGTTTTTGAGACAGGGTTTCACTCTGTCACCCTGGCTGGAGTGCAGTGGTGCGATCACAGCTCATTGCAGCCTCGACCTCCCTGGGCTTAGGTGATCCTCCCACCTCAGCTTCCCAAGTAATTGGGACTACAAGCTTACGTCACCATGCTGGGCTAATTTTTTTATCTTTTGTAGAGATGGGTTTCACCATGTTGCCCAGGCTGGTCTCGAACTCCTGAGCTCAAGCAATCTGCCCACCTTGGCCTCCCAAAGTGCTAGGATTAAAGGCATGAGACACTGTGCCTGGCCAAAAAGTTATTTTGATGGGGAATGACAGAATAATATTTTTCTTGATTGATCATATCTTAAATCTACAAATTATTAATTATAAGACCCTTCATTCCAAAAGATAATATGTATTTTTATTAGGATTCCTGAAATGACTGGCTAAATGTGTAAATCATTATATATTGTAAATCATTGTGTGTGTGTATATCTCTTTCTCATTTTATATATATATGTATATGTATATACATATATATAGAGAGAGATACCTGTCAGATATGCTTCAAGAACAAGTATGTCTTTATTACCATTAATTCTTTCATCAACTAGCTGAGCATATTTAGCAAAGACTTAATCAGGTCGTGCACCGTGGCTCACGCCTGTAATCCCAGCACTTTGGAACCCGAGGTGGGCAGATCATGAGGTCAGGGGTTCGAGACCAGCCTGGCCAACATCATGAAACCCCATCTCTGCTAAAAATACAAAAATTAGCTGGGTGTGGTGGTGGGCACCTGTAATCCCAGCTACTAAGGAGGCTGAGGCAGGAGAATCACTTGAACCCAGGAGGCGGAGGTTGCAGTGAGCCGAGATTGCACCACTGCACTCCATCCAGCCTGGGCAACAGAGCAAGACTCTGTCTCGGAAAAAAAAAAAAAAAAGACTTAATCAACTTCCTCTAGATAAATTAATTTTTATCAGATTTATCGATGGTGGGAGCCTAGGAAGGAGAAAGTACACATTTACACTTCTCTATTTCCCACATTGTGTAAAATATTCAAAGGTAAGGACAGGTGGTCTCATTCTGCTGTGCTTCTCCCATGGCATCTACTGTGACATCTGACATAATTATTTGCATAAATACTGTCTTAAGAGATCAATATTGACTCTATTTTGAGTTACTGCCATGTCTACCCCAAATAGCAAAATATATGGATAAAAATAAAAATATTCAGTTGGTTACTGCGATTCAATCCAAATATTGAGCTAACATTAGAAGTGACTATACAAAATCTGGAAGAAAATAAAGATGGATAAGACATGGCACCTGTCTCTATGGGCCTCAGAATTTATTGGGAAAGACAGATTGACAAACTATTCACAACAATTTGGCACAAATCAGTCTATGTAAGTGCTATGGAATAAAAGTGTGAAACACTAAACAGAAGCACTTTTTAAAAAAAAAAAAAAATCAAAGTCCTTTTAAATCTGAGTCTAGTTTCTTTCTCTCCACAGTCTTTGACCAGCAATGTGCTTAGGGATCTCAGGATCAGAAGCCAGACCAGCCAGAATCCTCAGTACTCAAGAGCTTTAAGACCTTATGCCAGAGCCCAATGTTACTCCAAAACCTTGGCAAGAAAGGTGCACTGAGATTTCAAACTCCGGAATCTATCTCTACCCTTTGTCTGATTGGGAAGTGCTTTGAGACTGCAAGCCTAGGTTCTTTGCCTGCTTCTTTCCAGGACCTCACATGTCCCAATTTGCCTGGGATAGTGTCAATTTAAACCATTTGTCTTGGTGTTTAAATGTTATGATAGTCTGTTTCTCTCAAATTTGGATAAAAAACTATGTAGTCACCTTACTGATGAACAAAGTGCTGTGCAGACTTAACCCAGGATTCTATTTACCCACAATTGCTAAGTAATAAATTATTCTAAAATCTTAGTATCAGGTTTTTTTTTTTTCTATTCACATACTCCTATCACTAAAACAGTATTTGTGTGCAAAAGCCATTATCTTGAGATGTGGCCATAGTTGAACATTAGCTGATACAGTTTTATCTTCTTGTGCCACTTGGAACTACAAAGACAGCAAATAAAAAAAGAGTAACATGTATTTGAATATATACACCTTGAAATCCATTACAGTTTCAATGTACCATTTATGTATTGTTTACCTGTTTATTGGTGTCAGCCACAGTTTCATCCTGAAGAAACTCACTTGGTACCTCAAGTTTTATTAAAAAACGAGCTAAATATGCTCTTTTCTTCAGTTCATTAGTCCTCTGAAGAAGCCAGTGGAGCACTGGGTAAATTACAGGTTTACTTCCAATCACCAAACCCTGACGAAAAGTACTCCTAAGAGAGAAACACACATACACAAACACACACGCACTTAACGGTAAACTTTGAAGAGAGACAGCATTTTCTCAAAATCTGATTTACAATGTCCAAATTGCTTTCTGTAACTTTTTAAAAAAGATAAACCCAAGGAATCTTTTTTTTTTTTTTTTTTTTTTTTGAGACAGGGTCTCACTTTATTGCCCAGGCTTGAGCACAACGCAGCTCACCAAAGCCTTAACCTCCTGGCTCAGGTGAACCTCCCACCTTAGCCTCCCAAGTAGCTGGGACTAGAGGCACCAACCACCATGCCCAGCTGATTTTTTGTTGTTGTATTTTTTGTAGAGGCAGCGTTTCGCCATGTTGCCCTGGCTGGTCTCAAACTCCTGAGCTCAAGTGATCCTCTCACCTTGGCATCTCAAAGTGCTAGGATTACAGGTGTGAGCTACCATGCCTGGCCCCAAGGCTATTCTAAAGTCAGTCTGTACATTAGTTAGAAAATTAGAAAAATTTGGCCCTCAATATATCATTGGCATATCCAAGGAAGTTGTGTTTAAGCTGTTTTTATCTAGGATGGCAGATAAAGGATAAAATGGTATAGTGGATTTACCAGACAGTTTGATTAAGGCAAAGAACTGACCCTCTTAAGACTTCTGAGTTTGTTTATAGAAGGTTTAAGATTATTTTGAAACTCAGTGATGTTCTCAGGCCATCAAATGAGGGAAACCAGGTATTACCTACAAAGATTGATTGCAGTATATGAAGGTTTGGATATTAAAGCATAATTTTAAAAACTCAATACGTGATCAGATTCTTACATATCTGTGGCATTTCCTGAAGGTTTGTACTTAAGAATACCAAGAAGGCTCAACATTCGTTTGGCTGTCTGCTCTGGCATCTCCTCTCTGATATCCACAAGTTGCTAACAAAGAAATTGAAAAAAACATGTTATTGTTGTATATGTAACAAAGGACAATATTTAAACTCACTGACAAAATTGTTCTGCTAGAGCTTAACAGCACAATGGTCTCTTCATAAAACAGATTAAGGATGGAGGCCCCCAGATTCCAAGTGAGGGTACACCCAAGTCAGATCAAGATTCACATTAAGAATGTTAAGCTTCAAAAAAAGTATCCAGTGGAATGGACCAGTGTATGAGAGACATGAACTAACTTGCAATACAATAAAACCTTTTGTAAAAGAATTTTCATTCCCTAACCAAACCTATTTATGTCTGGAAGTGGATAAATAATTTTGAAATAAGGTACCAATAGATAATTTATTTTTGAGCTAGCAGAGAAATGTTATGCATTATTTACTATTACTTTACAGACATGGAAAATAAAGCTCAGAGAGGTTAAATAATGTGCCCAAGACTCACAGCTATTTAGAGGGAGAAATTGGCTTTCTGCTACCCATCAAAAAGAAAGAGAAAACTCTTACCTTTGGGTCAATCTCAGCCAGAACATCACTGAGAACTTGTAATAGTTGCATTGGCTCCAAGGAATCAAACGTGATTAAATTATAGTTCTTCCTAAAGGGCTCCTTATTGAGACTGTCCATAATGAATTTAATTTGATCACTCATAATTAGGTCTTATAATTTTAACTAAAGAGTAAAAATAGAAAAAAAAATCCTTAATACTGGCAACAAAAGTCCTGGGTAAAAACCAGAATTAAGTTCATACAACGTAGGCATGAAAAGTATAATTTTACATGGCATACAAAATGCTGTGAAAAGGGTTATTTTGTTGAAAGAAATCCAAGTATAATGGCTTTACTATGAAAACTGCAGTATATACTGTTAATTTTAACATCAAATGCTTTGTATATGCATCTGGTGTAACAGTAATCATCTGAGTTAATGTGGACAAATGAATAATAAATCCTCCCTACATTAACATCTCTCCCATACCGGTGCATAATTTCTACCCAGGAATTAAACATGCTCCTAAATTTTAGGAGCCTGACTGCAAGCCTAACAGATGTTTCTCCCAAATCTCCCAAAAAACATTGAGAGATTTTTTACTTTAAAATCTGTATTTCCAGTTTCTCTTGAAAATCAGATCTGGCAACCGTGGGCCCACATTTGTGCATGCCCACAACCAACTGCATCTGAGTAGAGGCTGCACACTTCAAGTACCCTTCTTCCATTTCTGTTATTGGTGTGGCCGGTAGGCATCCACTCTGCCTTCATTTCCTTTGGCCTTCAATGAGGCCACAGCCTCTTGTTCTCTGGTCTCCACCTCTCCCCATTCCAAATCATCTGTATGCTCCTTATTGCGCACAAAATACAGCTCAAACTTCTTGGATTTCCAGACTCTTTATGATCTGGCACAACTTATCCCTTTCCAACTTTATTTCCAAATTGTCATCTTTCTACCCCTTCAAACTTCAGCCTATTGAAACAGTCACTGCTCCTTAGTTTTTCTATCACTCTGCCTTTAGTTAATGTTGCTTTCTCTGCCTAAAATGACTGCGCACCCCTCCTTCATCTCAAGAGGCACAAACCCCCCCAACCATCTTTCAAGCCATGCCCACCAAACGCCAGCTCCCCCAGGAAACCTTTCTCAAGCTATCCTCCAGGTTCTGCAGCAGTGCCAACACCTGTCCTTCATAGCTGACCACACTTTATCTGTGCTTCTCTCCTAGCACTACTTTTGATCTTGTGCTTTTTTTTTTTTTTTTTTTGAGACGGAGTCTCGCTCTGTCGCCCAGGCTGGAGTGCAGTGGCGCGATCTTGGCTCACTGCAAGCTCCGCCTCCCAGGTTCAAGCCATTCTCCTCCCTCAGCCTCCCAAGTAGCTGGGACTACAGGCGCCTGCCAGCACGCCTGGCTAATTTTTTGTATTTTTAGTAGAGACGGGGTTTCACCGTGTTAGCCAGGATGGTCTGGATCTCCTGACCTCGTGATCCGCCCACCTTGGCCTCCCAAAGTGCTGGAATTACAGGCGTGAGCCACCGCGCCTGGCCGATCTTGTGCTAGTTCTTTAGGTACGCATCTTCTCTTCCCTGCTAAACTGTAAATTCCGTATCTGTGTCCAATTCCATTTTTGAACATCCATTGTGTCTAAAACAGTGATTCCTTCCACTAGATTGAATGAACTTGTTCACAGGCACAAGTACAACATAAGCCTAAATCTAAAGGAAATCAGGCTGGCAGTGAGAAAGATCATAACTTTTTAAAAAACTGAATATCTGATTTATTAACTGCTGAAACAGCTTTACCTAGGTAAATGCTTTAAGGATTAAAAATGAATTAAGCAATGAGTTGCTGCCGGGAGCTGTCGTTCTCTCCTGTAATCCCAGTACTTTGGGAGGCCGAGGCAGGCAGATCACTTGAGGTCAGGAGTTCGAGGCCAGCCTGGCCAACATGGTGAAACCCGGTCTCTACTAAAAATACAAAAATTAGCCAGGTGTGGTGGCGGGCGCCGGTAGTCCCAGCTACTTGGGAGGCTGAGGCAGGAGAATTGCTTGAACCCGGGAGGCGGAGGTTGCAGTGAGCCGAGATCGCGCCACTGCACTCCAGCCTGGGGGACAGAGAGAGACTCCGTCTCAACAGAAAAAATAAAATAAAAAAGATAATTTCTCCACAATGATGAAAAATTACGCACAAATAATTATTATTGCTAAGAAATAAGTCAAAAGAGGATAGGAAGGATAACCACCATGGCTTATAATAAATCTGAGGTTTCCTTTAAGCTATAAAAGGAAAACCTTTACGTAAGTTTTTTTTTAAAATCCATATTGGAAGTGCAAGTTTTCCATTGTTTAAAGTATTTTAAGTAAAAGTCCACGTCATAACCTTTGCGTGCAGAAATATGTATTTCATTTTAAATGATTTAGAAATTATCTATAGGTCTACTCTTTTTTCCCTTAAAAAAAAATCTGGATAAACTAGTACAACGTTTCCAGGAAGGCAAAATAAACCAGTTGGGTTCCCCCCAAGTCGCCCACCAGCCTGCAAAAATGGTCACTCGATAAGGACAAAGATGTACTGAACAGGAAGGCTGTCTGTGCCCAGCGGGCTCTGCGCTCTAAAATTAGCAAAAGCAATTACTGTCCCTCTTCTAGCGCGAAGTCGCCGCGCTAATTCCCAAGCACTCACCCACAAACGAGTCGCAGGAGGCGGGGAACAATGAAAACCAGGACGTGCGTGTTCTCTGGCACAATTTGGGAGAGAAACCGTGCTGCCTGGGTCCCAGGCTGGCACGAGCATCGACCCGCAGCCTCCTGGGAGTACCAGAAATAGTGTCCCCCTCCCCGGGCTCGGGACAGGGGACAGGGGACCCCACACCCGACCGGGCCTCTAGCGGGGGCTGCCCTGGGCCCCTCGACAGTTCATCCCTCCAGGGAGCGGCCTGGATCCGCTCGAATCCCAGAAGGGGCCCGATTCCCCTATCCGGGGGCTTAACCGCGACGACCCCTTCCACTTGCGAGGTGCTGCATCAGGACCGAGAGAGGACGGGAGCTCTCTCCTATTTCGGGGTTCAGAGGAGCTTCCGACCGCGAGTTGGCGAGGTTACCTCAAATTCTCCTCACGAAACCGTTTCCCCACCCCCCAGGAGGCGCCCGGGCTCTAGACCGCTCCCAGAGTCGAGCTCCTTGGCAACGGTTGCTAGGCCGTAGAGTTACGTCACTTCCGGGCGAGCGGCCGCTCTCCCGCGCGCGCGCGCACGAGCTGGGGGGCGGGGCCGGGCCAGGGCGGGGAGGACGGGCGCGGGGCGGAGCGGACGGGGCGGGGCGGGGCGGAGCGGACGGGACGGGGCGGGACGGGGCGGGGCGGACGGGGCGGACGGGAGCCGGGCTTACTTGCAAAGCGGGCCCACGTGCTGAGCCACTGCAGACAGCCGAGGGCATTTGGGACTGTTACTCCGACCTAGACGCGCTACAATAAGCTTCCCGAAAGTCCTGCACTTCGCAGTTTACAAAATACTCTCTGCATGATTAACCTATGTTAAATGCGTGTGATGTTTCATTCATTCATTCATTCATGCATGCATGCATGCATTCATGCGCCAAACGTGGGTGATGATTTTTGTTTGTTTTTGAGGCAGGGCTGGGTGGTAGGGGGGTTGGGATGAGCAAGCATTTGGCCAGTGCTTCAAATTTAGGTTTTTGACATAAGTATCTCCAAATTAGGTTATGCATAGGAACAATTGTAGTGAGGCTCTGGCAGGATTAAAAGAAGACACATTCATCATAGAGATTTCAGCTTCTGTGTCACATTACTGGGCCACATTGCCTGTACTGGGAATTAAATTTTTTTAAACCCAATACGTTTTGAGTATGCTGAGAGCCTGAAAGGGGGTGTGGGAGAACTAAGTGTCCTAATGTTCCTTTGGCTTCTGAGTGGGCTCTCTTTAGGTGACTGCAGAAATAAATTAAATCCTCCTTGTGGTCTTCATGGAGTTCACATCCCACGCAGGACGCAGGGAGATCTTTGTGCCCAGTCACTGATGAGGTTTAAAAGTCTACTGGAATTTGCACTAGCTGGTTTGTGGGAGACCTTAGTTGGCAAATGGTATTTTGAACCAACCTCTATTAGACTAGAGACCACGATACTTAGTGATATCAGCTGGCAATGAAAGAAAGAGAAGGAAAAAAAATCAAATTATTGATACCTTGAAAACTTAGTTGCCTGCTCAAACAGCATAGGAGAAACCAACTATAGCTTTAGCATCAGACTTACCACAACAAAAAATAACAGATTACGTATTAGGCATTTCCTATATGCCCTGTACTGTACAGGCTGCTGGAAATGCAGAAGGGCAGGACTTACCTGGCCCCTGCCCTGATGGAGCTGACAGTCTAGTGCCGGCAGAGATTATTAAAGGGGCAACACCAATACAATTGAGATAAATGCTGTAACAAGAGAAGCCAATGATTAGGAGCCCAGATTAAGGGCCTCAAGTTTATTTGGGGAGGGTGGTGCCAAAGGGGCCATACCATCAGGAAAGTTTCTGTCAAATGGAGTGATGTTTAAGGATCAGTAAAAATTAGGCCTGGCACCGTGGCTCACGCCTGTAATCTCAGCACTTTGAGAGACCAAGGCAACAAGATAACTTTGAGCCCAGGAGTTCAGGATCAGCCTGGGTAACAGAGCAAGACCCTTTCTCTACAAAAAATTAAAAGCAAAAATTGGTCAGGGGTGGCACCATTGCACTCCAGGCTGGGCAACAGAAGGAGACCCCCATCTCTTAAAAAGGATCAGTAAAAATTAGCCAAACAGGAAAAGGGAGAGTGTTTTGGGCAGAGGCAACACAACATTCCAAGACCAGTCCCTTTGTTGGCTGCCCTCTGACTGTTGAAATATCAAGCGTAGGTACCCTGCAGGGCTCCTGGAGAGAAACTAAAACTGGCCCCACCCCACAACCAATTAGGGGAAGCAACACTCAAAACCTCAAAGAATTAAATAACTTACATAATACTGACAGAAACAATACAAGATTTGTAGAAGGGATTATATAATTCATTGATCCTGTTGGGTGTGTTAGGAGACATCCCTGGCTACCTGGGTTTGAATTCTGCATCTGCCATTGTGTACCCTCTCTTTATCTTGCTAAACTTTCCTCATCTGTAAAACGTGGCTATAATAAAACCTTCCTCAATAGGGTTGACATGAGGATTAAGGGAGTTGATACAGGTAAAGTGATTACAACAGTGCCCAACATTGGGAGGCACTGAAGACATTTATGTTTTTTCTTTTTAAAAAAATGAGGCATGTACATGGTGGCTCATGCCTGTAATCTCAGCACTTTGGGAGGCTGAGGTGGGAGGACAGTCTTAGCCCAGGAGTTCAAGTCCAGCCTGAGCAACAGTGAGACCCCATCTTTAAAAAAAGAAAAGAAAAAAGAAAAAAAAAAGAAGTAAAAGAATTTTTTGAATAAAACTTTAAAAATAAGATGGTTTGCCAGACACAATGGCTCATGCCTGTAATCCCAGCACTTTGGGAGGCTGAGATGGGCCGATCACTTGAGGTCAGGAGTTCAAGACCAGCCTGGCCAACAAGGTGAAACCTCATCTCTATCAAAAATACAAAAATTAACTGGGTGCGGTGGTGCATGCCTGTAATCCCAGCTACGTGGGAGGCTGAGGCAGGAGAATCACTTGAACTTGGGAGGCAGAGGTTGCAGTGAGCGAAGATCACGCCATTGCACTCCAGCCTGGGCAACAGAGTGAGACTCTGTCTCAAAAAAAAAAAAAAAAAGAAAAGAAAAGAAAAAAGAAAAAGTAAAGAAAAGAAAAAAGAAAAAAAAAAGATGGTTAGATTTGCACCTTCTATAGGGTTTATGGGTATAGGCTATAGAAATCCTAGATAGGAGTGGTTTATCTAATAGCTTTTAGTTCCTCCTCTCTCTGTTGCCCCTGGTCTACAAACACTATACCTTTCAGTTATGAGACTGCAATCCTGTATAAATTCAAATAAGCAAGAGGATCCACTCTTTGGACTCAAACTTGAATAGATTTTATGCTTAATATGGTTGCTCTGGAACACGGGGAAGAACTTGAAGCCAGTCAGCATGCTTCCTGGAATCTGTATATTGAAAAATTTATGTTCCGACTTACAGTAAAAAAGAGAACTGCATATATTGGGTCCCCGAGGCCAAAGGAAGATTGGCTACCACCCCCTGATTCTGTGTGTGTGTGTGTGTGTGTGTGTGTGTGTGTGTGTGTGTGTGTGTGTGTTTGTGTTTGGAGATGGAGTCTCACTTTGTCACCCAGGCTGGAGTGCAATGGCGCAATCTCGGCTCACTGCAGCCTCCGCCTCCTGGGCTCAAGCAATTCTCCTGTCTCAGCCTCCCTAAAGTGCTGGGATTACAGGTGTGAGCCACCGCGCCCAGCCGCCTGATTCATTTAACATAAAACCTTGGGTGGATTCGTTGAAGAGTCTAAGAGGGAATTGTCAGCAACAATTTCACAACAACAGAGGCATTGCTGATCTCCTCCCAGCTGAGCTACCCGTGAAGCCTTTTTTTTTCCTCCTTAGATGCTATGTTGAGTCTTCTCTGTAAGCTCCCAACAATGCCTTTTGGCTGAACTATATTTGACATTTTTAATAGAGGGAGGGAAGTTCCAGCCATATGTGACAGCCTTTCTGAAAGCTTCCCACTCCTTCCTTACTCTCTTTTTGAAACAGCTCTATTAAGATATAATTCACATACATACAATTCACCCATTTAAAGTGTACAATTCAGGCTGGGCATGGTGGCTCACGCCTGTAATCCCAGCACTTTGGGAGGCTGAGGCGGGCAGATCACCTGAGGCCAGGAGTTCGAGACCACCCTGGCCAATATGCGGAAATCCCGTCTCTACTGAAAATACAAAAAAAAAAAAAAAAAAAAATTAGCCAGACATGGTGGTGGGCATCTGTAATCCCAGATACTCAAGAAGCTGAGACAGGAGAATCGCTTGAGCCCAGGAGGCAGAGGTTGCAGTGAGCCGAGATCACATCACTGCACTCAAGCCTGGGAAACAGAGTGAGACTCCGCCTCAAAAAAAAAAAAAAAAAAAAAAAGGTGTACAATTCAATGGCTTTTAGCATATTCACAAAGTTATGCAATCATCACCACTATCTAATCCCAGGACATTTTTATTACACCAAAAAGAAACCCTGTACCCTTCAGCCATCACCCTCACAATGAAAATCTCCCCACTTCACAGCCCCAGGCAACCACTAATTTATTTTCCATCTCTATGGACTGGCCTTTTCTGGACATTTCATATAAATGAAATCACACAAAATGTGATCTTTTGTGTCTGACTTCTTTTGCTTAGTATATAATGTTTTTAAGATTCATCCATGTAGTAACATGGATCAATACATCATTCCCGTTCCCGTTTTTGTTTTTTTGTTTGTTGTTGTTGTTGTTGTTGTTTTTTAAGGTGGAGTCTCCCTCTGTCTCCCAGGCTGGAGTGCGGTGGCATGATCTTGGCTCACTGCAACCACTGCCTCCTGGGTTCAAACCTCCCGAGTTCAAGCGATTCTCCTGCCTCAGCCTCCTGAGTAGCTGGGACTACAGGTGTGCGCCACCACGCCTGGCTAATTTTTTGTATTTTTAGTTGATACGGGGTTTTGCCATGTTGACCAGGCTGGTCTTGAACTCCTAGCTTCAAGTGATCCACCCACCTCAGCCTCCCGAAGTGCTGGGATTACAGGTGTGAGCCACCATGCCCAGCCCGTCATTCCCTTTTATTGCCAAATAATTCCATTCTATGGATAGACCACATTTTCTTTACGCATTTTCTATTCCTGAACATTTGAGTTGGTTCCACTTTTTTGCTACTATGAATAATCTGCTATGAACATTTGTATACACACTTTCGCCCCCTTATGAATAAGGATTCCATTGCCTAGGTCAGGTGACAGGGTATATACATCAGCAGGACGGGAGAGAGGATTCATTCTTACAGTGTCTCTTCCTTTCAACTTTTGTTAATTTTTGGCCTGTTGGGTACCCATGGTTGTAGATTACAGGACCCAAGATGTGGAGCCTTTAGTAGTTTTTGGTTATAACGGACCTGTTACTGAAACCTACTCATCCCTTGCTACCAAAGCACTAGAATTCCCAATCTGTTTCTCACCAGAAGCCATCTGATAAGAAGATGCTGCTTACATGGATGGGCTTCAAATGTTCACCATCTTCCACTGGAGGAGAGGGTGAGGCAAGGTGAGGAGGAGGTGAGAAAGACTTGAAGCTGCCCCTTCTTATCTCCTTATTTAACTGCGTAGATAATAAGGGGTATCCACAGTTTTGAACCTTTGGTCCGATTATTCAGAGGGGGAAAATTACTCCTGGTAAAGTGTATTTTTCAAGCCTCAGTTTAGTTATAAGATAAAAAATAAAGAGAAGAGGTTTTATCTCATGTAATTGTGAAGTTGTTCTGAGGTGAGCAGGCCTATGCAAACCTACCCCCAAGGTCTGAGGAAGCTGAGAAGTGAAAAAAAGAGGCTGACAATTCCAGCTTCTTAGAAAGAGACATTTAGGCTGGGCACAATGGCTCATGCCTGTAATCCCAGCACTTTAAGAGGCCAAGGCAGGAGGATCACTTGAGGTCAGCGGTTCGAGACCACCCTGGCCAACATGGTAAAACCCTGTCTCTACAAAAAAAATACAAAAATTAGCTGGGCGTGGTGGCAGGTGCCTGTAATCCCAGCTACTTGGGAGGCTGAGGCAGGAGAATCGCCTGAACCCAGGAGGCGGAGGTTGCAGTGAGCTGAGATCTTACTGCTGCATTCCAGCCTGGGTGAGAGAGTGAGATCCTGTCTCAAATAAAAAAAAAAAAAAAAGAAAAAGAAAAGAAAAAGAAAAAAAGTAGAACTTTTAATCCAATAGTTTCAGCAAATTTCCAGGGCTCACTCTCATTGGTCTGAAGTGTGTCAGACCCAAAGGAAGTGCTGGATCCTCTTATCAGAGATAGAGATGCTATGCAAACAAGACCAGTAGATCAGGGAAGACCAGGTGGTCAGGGAAGGCTGGTAAATCTGGAAAGCTGCATAAGAAAAACCGGAAGAGGAAGGAATGAGCCTGCACTCGTGGCAGAGAGCATCTGTATCAATGAGAACCTTCTCCCTGATTTCCTTCCACGAATTATCTTTCTTCAATGTGGTCTTCCACTGTGGGCCAAACAAGGTCTTGGGATAACCCAGCAGACCTCTCCGGATCCCCCACAAACATCTGAGGATGGCCATGAATATAATGTCTCCAATCCCTTCTCATTTCAGAACTTCCAAACAAGAACTTTCCTGTGCAGAGTACAGGGAAGCCAAGCCAATTTTCTGTTTTTGGTATTAAATTTAGACCTTTCATCCTGACCATGAGATATTTCTGGATTCTGCACGAGTATTCAGCGAGTGCCAGGATTCAAGATGCTATCCCATCTGGGGCTATTCTGCAGGCTGCCCACTTTATCTCATTCTTTTAAAACTGGGAAAAATGACCCAGACGCAGAAACAAATTCAGAAGAGGGTTATTCTGTTATCCATTAATTGTCATTTAATGCCTTTGCCATCCAGGTTACTTGGAGAGGAAAGAAATTAAATTTGAACGGAAACCTGAATTGCATTTTGCAGATATCCTAAATTGTCTCTGTTCTGACAATTTAATCTTGTGGGTATGTTTAGTAGCAGAATGTGCTTTCTTAAAAGGTAAAAAGATAAATAATATGTGAAATACTCAACTTAAATGGATGAGATTCCAGAGGTCTTCTTAAATGTGTGCCTGGTACTATATTTTTCTCAGATGGCTTTTATAAAATGGGTTTTGTATTTATAAATGTGCTATGGTTCACAAAGGCTGGAAATTGCTGATGAGATTAATGGGCAATGTAGAATAGCCAAAATAATACGCAATTCATATTAACTCCTTAGTCATCAGTATGGATTGAAATATAGGATGCATCTAACTTTTTTTTTTCAGTGACACGATGTCACTCTGTCACCCACGCTGGAATGCAGTGGCGTGATCATAACTCACTGCAGCCTGTACCTCCCGGCCTCAGCCTCCCGAAAAGTTGGGACTACAGGTGGCGCCACCATATCCAGCTAATTTTTTTTTTTTTTTTTTTTTTTTTTTTTTAGAGATGAGGTCTCACTATGTTGCTCAGGCTGGTCTCAAACTCCTGACCTCAAGTGAGCCGCCCACCTTGGCCTCCCAAAGTGCTGAGATTACAGGTGTGAGCCACCGTGCCTAGCCAGGATGCACCTAACATTCTTAGTGGGCTGAAATTATCATTATATCATCACTTATTGAGTGCTTACTATATGTCAGGAACTTTGCTAAATACTTCAAATATGTGTCAGAATTTATTCAAATTTTAATTTATGTGTGTACCCCTTCTGTTTCCCATCCTCTTGAAAGAATTTTTATTGTCTTGACTTCTGCAGGTTGAAAATCCAGCTGTACTTTGCCCAGTACATCTGTACTTCCTACAGACCCTGTAGGCGTGTGAAGAATTGAAGTGTTTAGGGGAAATTGTACTGGTTGTCCTCAGGCGGGGAGTGGAGAGGGGGGTTCCTTCAAGGGTAAGGTGGGGCCAGGTGCGGAGGTCGAGGCCTATAATTTCAGCACTTTGGGAGACCAAGGTGGGAGGATCACTTGAGTCCAAGGGTTCGAGACCAGCCTGGGCAACATAGTGAGACCCTTATCTCTATAAAAAATAAAAAGTTAGCCAGGCGTGGTGGCGTGCACCTATAGTCTCAGCTACTGGGGAGGCTGAGGCTGGAGGATGTCTTGAGCCTAGGAAGTTGCGGCTGCAGTGAGCCAGGATTGTGCCACTGCACTTCAGCCTGGGCAACAGAGGGAGACCCTGTCTCAAAACAACACAAAACAGAACAAAACAAAATGAGACAAAACAAGAGTAAGAAGAGAAAAGACAGATGTTATGGAGAGTGGGAAGGGTCACAAGTTGATAAGTCCAGAGCAGCTTCTGGGAAGGGAGAAATACCCTAAGGAGGCCACACCACAAGTCCAGTGCCTTCCAGTCTGACCAAAGCTTTCTTTGTCTCAGGCCTGACATGGAAGGATCAATGCTATTGGACCTGAAAGGACCTGTAGCCTGGGAGGATGGGTGACCAAGCAGTCACTAGGGTGGGCCACTGACAGAAGACTGCAGGTGTTGCCCAAAGCTACATCACTGCAAAAGAGCCCCGGGACTTGGTATCCCCTAGGATGTGTGTTGGGGGAGGGGGGATGCTCAAAACAAGATTACATTTCTCTCCAACCTAGCAGAATGGGGGCTCAGAATTGGATTTCAGTTGGTTATAAAACAATGTCCTTCCTCCTGCAAATCTGAGTCGTGGACTAAAACTGATAACTTCTGTATTAGTTAGCATCCTGGCAGGATAAAGATGGCAAACTCTGGGCAATTGAGGATAGCTTAATAAAGGGCTATTTATAAAGGTGTGGACAGCATTTAGGGCAACCAAGAGACCAGCACCAAAGGCAGCCATTGCTGCCCCTAAGCCTGAAGCAGGAAGAGAAGAGGACAAACACAAAAAGCCTGACAGATCAGCCCTACAGAGACAGTTGCCTAACAAGAGCCTCTGACGCAGCCAGTCCCAATCCCACTGTCCTATCCTCTGATCTCTTCTTGCTTGGCTCCTCACTAGCTAAACCCAACAGAGAGCCAAAGGGAAAGGGAGCTCCCCTGAGGTCATCCATGCAGATGCGCCTCCCTGGACAAAGAGGGGGAGGAAGATGGCAACAGTGGGGCTGGGCGCGGTGGCTCACATCTGTAATCCCAGAACTTTGGGATGCTGAGGTGGGCAGATCACTTGAGGTAAGGAGTTCAAAACCAGCCTGGCCAACGTGGTGAAACCCTGTTTCTACTAAAATACAAAAATTAGCTGGGTGTGGTGGTATGTGCCTGTAATCCCAGCTACTTGGGAGGCTGAGGCATGAAAATCGCTTGAGCCCAGGAGATGGAGGTTGCAATGAGCCAAGATTGCACCACTGCACTCCAGCCTGGGTGACAGAGTGAGACTCTGTCTCAAAAAAAATTTTTTTTTAATTTAATCCACAGCAATGTGGATCCGGAGGGGCAGACTGACTTTATAGATAAAATTACACAATCAAAATGATGGGCAGTCAGGCCTTGTGGGGTCAGTGAATCCAGCCCCATGTCTTCCAAGCTGCACTTCTCTCTTCTAGCTGAAGTTCCAGGCATTATGTGAGTTAGGCCTAATTTCATTTCGGCACACTGCCTGCACCTACATAATCTCATTTAATCTTCACAACAAGTCTGCAAGGACAGTTTTTTGTTTTTCTTTTTTTAGACAGTCTAACTTTGTCACCCAGGCTGGAGTGCAGTGGTGTGATCATGGCTCACTGCAGCCTCAACCTCCTGGGCTCAAGAGATCCTCCTGCCTCAGCCTCCTGAGTAGCTGGGACTACAAGCGAGAACCACCATGCCTGGCTAATTTTTGCATTTTTCTTTAGAGACAGGGTCTCACTACATTGCCCAAGCTGGTCTTGAACTCCTGGGCTCAAGCAATTCTCCCGCCTTGGCCTCCCAAGAGGCTGGGATTATAGGCGTGAGCCACCACACCCAGCCACAGTATTATTTTTTTCCACTTTATGATTAAGGAAATTGAGACCTAGAGAGTTAACAGAGGCCCAAGGTCGCAGAGCTGGTAGCTGGCTGAGCCAAGATTCAAACATAGGTCTGCCTGATTCCAAAGCCATTTTCATCAGCCTCCTAAACTGGCTCCAAACTGGCCCAGCAGAGACCGAAAGAACCATAAATCAGGCTGCTGAGGTGGGAGGCACAGGGATTTTCTGTGTGGGAGGGACCACATCAACACAGTGCCTGGACTTCTGTGCCTACAAGGGCTTTGCCAAGGAAGCTCTTCTCACACCCAGGTATAGCTAATGGTTTGAAATCCAAGCGCTTATCCCAAAATCAAAGAGGGGGAAGATGGAGAGAAAACACTTGGCCAATGCTGGGAAAAAAAGTGTATTTTCATTTCAGATGCCTTTCAAGTTTCTTTTTTTCCCAGCTGAATGTTTGGTGTATTTATAGAGTTCAGGGGGAGTATTTAAGGGTAACCGGCAGTGGAGCTGCATTTTGGGCTATCAGGAAGCTGAGAATCATGCAGGAGAAGTTTGGTGGAAGCGGACAAGAGCAGCAGGGCACAAACTGGCTTTGTCTTTCATGTTGCCAAGACCACCTCATCCTCCTGGGGCTGATGACGTCAAATCGAGGTCTATGAGAGTGCTACAGATGAAATGATCGACTCAAAATGATGGGCAAATGGGTGAATGAATAAGCAAACTGTGGTATATACATACAGTAGAATATTATTCAGCCATAAAAAGAAATGAAGTACTGGTCCATGCTATAGCATATATGAACCTCAAAAACATGGTGCTGAGCAAAACAAGCCAAATGCAAAAGGCCACCCGTTGTATGACTCCTGTTATATGAAATACTCAGAATAGGCAAATCCCTAGAGACAGAATGTGGACTGGTGGTTGCCAGGGGCCAGGCAGAGGGGAGAATGCAAAGCAAGTGCTTAATCGGTACAGAATTTCCTTTTGAGGCCGGGCACAGTGGCTCACGCCTGTAATCCCAGCATTTTGGGAGGCCAAGGTGGGCAGATCACTTGAGGTCAGGAGTTCAAGACCAACCTGGCCAACATGGCAAAACCCTGTCTCTACTAAAAGTACAAAAAAATAGCCAGGTGCGGTGGTGCAGGCCCATAATCCCAGCTACGTGGGAGGCTGAGGCAGAAGAATCGCTTGAACCCAGGAGGTGGAGGTTACAGTGAGCCCAGATCGCACTACTGCACTCCAGCCTGGGTGACAGAGCAACACTCTGTCTCAAAAAAAAAAAAAAAAAAAAAAAAAAAAAAGCATTTCCTTTTGAGGTGATGAAAATGTTCTGGAAATAGACAGAGGTGGTTGTACGATATATGTTAATGTACTAATTACCATGGAATTGTTCCTTTTAAAATGGTTGGTTTTATGTTATGTGACTCTCATCTCAATTATATTTTTTTTTTTGGAAAAAAAAATTCCCTTCCTTCCCGTCCCTCCCTTCCTTCCTTCCTCTCTCTCTTTCCTCCCTTTTCTTTCCTTCTTTCTTTCTTTCTTTTTTTTTTTTTTTTTTTTTTGAGACAGGGTCTCGTCCAAGCTGGAGTGCAGTGGCATGATCATGGCTCACTGCAGCCTCGACCTCCTGGACTCAAGTGATCCTCCTCAACCTCCTGAGTAGCTGAGACTACACCCACCACCATGCCCAGCTAATTTTTAATTTTTTGTAGAAACATGGTCCCGCTACGTTGCCCAGGCTAGTCTCAAACTCTTGGGCTCAAATGATCCTCCTGCCTTGGCCTCCCAAAGCTCTGGGATTATAGGCATGGGACACCATGCCCAGCCAGCAAGGTCTTTTCTGTTCCTCTTACTTAAAGTAACCAACCCACCAGTCACCCTCCATCACTGTGCTCTTCAGACTGTTGGTCATGGCCTATTAGAGGGAATGGAAATCAATTTAGTGGATCTCAATTAACATTTTAAAAAATGAAATGAAATAAAACAGAAAATATCACACAAGGATAAGGGTAAATATTACTGTGTCAGAAATTTTTTTACTTTTTTTTTTTTTTTTTGAGACGGAGTTTCCCTCTGTGGCCCAGGCTGGAGTGCAGTGGTGCAATCTCAGATCACTGCAGCCTCCACCTCCCTGGTTCAGCGAGTCTCCTGCCTCAACCTCCCGAGTAGCTGGGATTACAGGCACGAGCCACCATGCCCAGCTAACTTTTTTGTATTTTTAGTAGAGATGGGGGTTTCGCCATGTTGTCCAGGCTGGTCTGGAACTCTTGACTTCAAATGATCTGCCTGCCTCGGCCTCCTAAAATGCTGGGATTACAGGCATGAGCCACCACGCCCAGCCTATTTTTTGCTTCTTAATAAACCACTCCAAATTTATTGATATGCAACCGTTTTTTCCCACAAGTCTGTGGGTTAGCTGGGCTCAGCTGGGCGGTTCTGCTCCATGTGGTATCTGCTGGGATCACTCATACGGCTGAATCCAGCTGGAGGTCCGTGTGGGGCTAGAACATCCAAGGTGGCATCCCTCTTGGATCTGGATGTTAGTGTTGGTGGCCACTTCTTCACATGGAAGCTCTCCTTCTCTTGTGGCCTCTCATCATTCAGTTGTCTGACCTGAGCTTCCTTTCATGGTTCTGGGTACAAAGAGCACAAAAGTGGAAGCTGCCAGTCCCCTTAAGGCTGAAGCCCAGAAAAGGCACAAAGTTGTTTCCGCTGCATCCTATTGCCCAAAGCAAATCACAAGAGCCACCCAGATTTAAGGGAAGGGAGAGGCTGGGTGTGGTGGCTCATGCCTATAGTCCCAGTACCTTGGGAAGCTGAGGCAGGAGGACAGCTTGAGCCCAGGAGTTTGAACTCAACATAGTGAGACCCCAACTCTACAAAAAAATGAAAAAATCAGCTGGCGTGGTGCTGCATGCCTGTAGTCCTACCTACTCGGGAGGCTGAGGCAGGAGTGTTACCAAAACACCAGGGGTTCAGACTAGGTCCTGCTGCTTGCCACACAGAAAGCCAATCACTGACAGGACAAGTATTGCCAAGGAAGAAGGCTTTAATTGGGTGCTGCAGCTGAAGTGATGGGAGCTGAGTCTCAAATCCAACTCCCTGGTCTACTAAAATTAGGAGTTTATATAGTGGGGAAGAAATGTAACAACATGCGGGAAAACAAGAACTAGGGAAGGGCAGGAAGTCATCTGATGCCCTGATCTGGTGAGTTTCAGTGCTTCAGTACTTGTTTTTGAGAGGCCTGAAGGTCCTCAGATAAAACAAATACAGCTTTAATAGCAGAAGGGTCAATGTCTATGTTTATCCAAAAGAACAGTGTATGGGAGTGTTGGGCCAGTTTCAGGAGGATCACTTGAGCCTAGGAGTTCAAGGCTTCAATGAGTTTGATCATACCACTGCACTCCAGCCTGAGTGACTGAGACTCTGTCTCTAAAACAAACAAATAACAAAAACAGGGAAGGGGAAGCTGGCTCCACCTCTTTTTTTTTTTTTTTTTTTTTTTTTGTAGAGATGGAGGTTCACTATGTTACCCAGGTGGGTATCAAACTCCTGGCCTCAAGCAATCCTCCAGCCTTGGCCTCCCGCTCGGTTTATAGGTGTGAGCCTCTGCACTGGGTCTTGACTCCACTTCTTTTTCTTTTTCTTTCTGAGATGGAGTCTTGCTCTGTCAGCCAGGCTGGAGTACAGTAGTGCAATGTCAGCTCACTGCAACTTTACCTCCCAGGTTCAAGAGATTCTCCTGCCTCAGCCTCCCAGGTAGCTGGGATTACAAGCATGTGCCACCACACCTGGCTAATTTTTGTATTTTTAGTAGAGACAGGGCTTTCACCATGTTGGCCAGGCTGGTCTCAAATTCCTAACCTCAAGTAATCCACCCTCCTCAGCCTCCCAAAGTGCTGGGATTATAGGCATGAGCCACCACGCCCAGCCTTAACTCCGCCTCTTGATGGGGGAGCAACATGTGCATTCTATGAATGGGAGAAGTTGTTGGCAGATGTTGGTGCAGACAGTCCACCACAGTTGTTTTTTCCCTTTTAATAAACATGCATGTGTGCGCATTGGTTCACATGATAAACATATCTCTTGCTGTGAGTCAAAGTCAAAAGGCTGGAAAAACACACTTCTATATCCTTTAAAAAATTTATTTCAGCCGAGGGCGGTGGCTCACGCCTGTAATCCCAGCACTTTGGGAGGCCAAGGCATGCGGATCACCTGAGGTTGGGAGTTCAAGACCACCCTGACCAACATGGAGAAACCCCGTCTCTACTAAAAATACAAAATTAGCCGGGTGTGGTGGCACATGCCTGTAATCCCAGCTGCTCGGGAGGCTGAGGCAGGAGAATTGCTTGAACCCAGGAGGCGGAGGTTGCAGTGAGCCAGAGATCACGCCATTACACTCCAGCCTGGGCAACAAGAGTGAAACTCTGTTTCAAAAAAAAAAATTTCTTTCATAGCCCTTAGTACTCTCTGACCTTAGCTTATTTTATTATAGATCTCTGCCATTCAAATGTAAGTTCCCTGAGGGCAGGGGCCTTGTCTGTCCTATTAGTCCTGTGTCCTCAGCACCTAATAGGGTCTGGCTGTTAAGAGGTGCTTAATAAATATCTGTAGTCATTGAGTAGGGTGTTGTTGAATCAGCTCTTATTTCTTGGGTGCTGAGCACTTAAAACATTATCTCATTTAATTTACTCAACATATATTTGAGCACCTACTGTGTGCCAGGCACTATTTGAGGTGATGGTGAAACAACAGGAAACAAAATAGACAATAATACCTGCCCTCAGTGAGTGTATTTTCACCATATAGTAGAGAACAGATTCACTGATACTATTTTGACAAAGAAGGAAACTGAGAGTCAGAGACGTCAGGCAACTTGCCCAAGGTCACACAGCTGTTAATTTCACCCTGACACCTGGCTCTTCTCCACTCTCCTGTAGATGTTGAATTTTGCCCAGAGATGGGCTTAGGTGGTTATGGATCTCAATTTCTGCAATTGTTTCCCTGAAGGACCAAACTTGTCTTTCTAGGAGTCAGACACAGGGCAGTGGGAACAGGTGAGTCCCATGACCTCAGAGTCCCTGCCCCTCCCACCCTTAGTTCCCCGACTCTGTGACAATGGCTCACACCTGGGGTGTTGCAGATTTGAGCCACAGATCCCAGTCACCCCCACTGTCTTATCGGCATGTGACATTCCCAAGTGGCTGGGGCGTGCAGGCTGGGCAAAGAATGCAGCCTGAACAAAAATAAACCTGTTACATTCCTTGGCAGCCCCCTGCCCCTTCCTGCTCTCCAGCCATCCATCCTCACAGCAGAGTCTGCCAGGGAAGGCAGAGAGAGGGCGAACAGGGTGGAGGAAGTCAGTGTTGCTACCCGGAGAGAGGGAGAGGAAAAGAGAGAGAGAGAGAGAGAGAGAGAGAGGAGAGGAGAGGGAAGAGAAAGAGAGAGAGAGAGATCACCTTATATGGGAACGTGTGCAGACAATATGTGGCAATGGCTTAAAGGGCAGCAGAGGTCAGATACCAGACAGATGGAAGAAATTAAACATGGGACAGAGCTTGTCCCTGAGCCCTGAAAACAGCTCTTGTTTCACAGCAAGTTCGCACAAAGCCTGGCCCATTTTCCTTTTTTGCCTAAGCCCTGCAAGATGTGTGTCCTAACCTCTCCGTGACTCTGAGTCAGGCCTCTCGACTCCGATTCTGTGGCTTGGCAGCGGTCTCAATCCTTTAAGGTCATTTATTTGACGAACAAAATTCCTCGTTGCAAATAAAAAGGAAAAGGCCAGGCCTATTTCTCAAGAGTTTCCAATATCTCTCCAAAGCACACAGATTAGTAGTTAATGAGTAAATAATCCTTCATTTCTCATGCATTCATTCAACAAAGATTGAGGACCTGTTACGCCTCAGGCACTGAGCCAGGGGCTGGAAAGATGGCAATGGTGACGATGATGATGACAATTAGCATTTGTTGATTTGCACTCATTTGATAAATATTTCAACAATTAATAATTTACTTTGCGCCTTTTATGATCCAGTCATTGATGATACAGAACATTGATCTACATCATCTGGTTCCTGCCCTTGTGGAGTTTACAAGGAAGGCGAGGGATATTGAACACATGATCCCATTGAGTCCTCACAATAGTTCTTTGAGTTAGTTTACTATTATCATCCCCATTTAACACAGAGTTTTCCAACCTCTGCACTATGGATATTTTGGGCTGGATAATCTTTGTCTTGGAGGGGCTGCTCTGTGCATTGTAGGATATTTAGCAGTGTCCCTGGCCTTCTACCCAACTAGGTGCCAGCTGCAACCATTCCCCTCCCCCTAGTTGTGACAACCAAAAAAATCTCCAGACATTGCAAACTGTCCCGGAGGAAACAAAATTGTTCCCAGTTAAGAATCACTGATTCCACGGATGAGGAAATAGAGGGTCAGGGCGGGCTAAGACATTTCCTAAAGGTCATACCGCTGGTGGGTAGGACTCACACCCTGGTCTACCCAAAGCCCATGGTCCTTACCACTGCAATGTGAAACTGTATTTCCTTGACAACAGATGATTTTGAGTTTGGATGGTTGTAGACTTCATTATCTCATCCTACAAAATGGAAGTTATCTGTGTTAATTTGGATCCTCTGGGAAGCAGATGCCAGGACAGGCTCAGACTTGCAGGGGATTTATCAAGGGAATCCCTGTGAAAGATAAAGGGCGGACGTCTTCAGACTGGGATACTGGGCTAACACCTGGGGAAAGAGACGGGGAAGGAAAGAGTGAGTAGGAGGAGCTGCAGACAGCAATGCGGGTCTCAGAAAGTTTTGGCTGGACTGATGAGGGCTTCCTGAACAAAGTCACTGGTAGGATGAATCTCAGGTCAGCAGCAGTGGGGCTGTGCTACCACCCCCGCTGTGCTGTCATTGGCTAGGAGCCATCTGAGGAAATATGGCCTTGGCGTGAACTTGGTGGATCCAGAGGAATGGGAATGAGGACTGTGAGTCAACTGTGCTCTCCGTGCAGACTCTCTTTTTTTTTAAGACAAGGTCTCACTCTGTCACTCAGGCTGGAATGCAGTGCCATGATCACAGCTCACTGCAGCCTCAACCTCCTGGGTTCAAGTGATTCTCATGCCTCAGCCTCCTGAGTAGCTGGGACCACAGACGCATGCCGCCACGCCTGGCTAATTTTTGTATTTTTTAGTAGAGCCAGGGTTTCATCATGTTGGCCAGGCTGGTCTCGATCTCCTGACCTTAAGTGATCCTCAAGTGATTTCAGCCTCCCAAAGTGCTGGGATTATAGTCATGAGCCACTGCACCCGGCCGTGCAGACTCTCTAGAGGGAGATGCAAGCCGTGCACTACATGGCTGTGACATCATCAAAGTGGTGCCCATTGGTTACATTCACCTTAAGGCAAGGAGACTAAAAAGTGGTGCACTTTTTAGGAGACTACCAGTGGTGCAGTGGGGAACAAAGCCAGGTTGGCCTTCTTTAAGCAAAAGTGTTCATTTTCCTTGCATTGTCTTGAGCTTCTTAGTGATCTTCAAAGTCAGCTCTGACTTGAGTTCCATCAGTGAGGAAGTAAAGAGCACAGACTTGAAGGGCTACCGGTTAGCTGGTTGGCCTTGGTTTCCCCATTTGCATGATGGAGTTAACCTGCCCTAACTCACAGGGTTGATGTGAGGATTTAATGTATAGGAAAGTTTATGGAATTGCTACACATTTGTTTTCAGAAGAGGATGTGAACCCTCTGCCTTGTTTCTTGTTTTTTGTAAGGACATCTCCCTGCCAGCAACCCTCTCATTCTCCCAAGATCCATCTCTGCACCTACACAGGGGACCACAAACTAGCTAAATTAGATAGATAAGCTGTACTTTGCTCATAGAGTATTTTTAAAAAAGAACCAACGTTTAAAATTGAGGCATTTTTGGGAGGCCAAGGCAGGCAGATCACCTGAGGTCAGGAGTTCAAGATCAGCCTGGCCAACATGGTGAAACCCTGTCTCTGGCCAGGCGCAGTGGTTCACGCCTGTAATCCCAGCACTTTGGGAGGCCGGGGTGGGTGGATCACCTGAGGTCAGGAGTTCGAGACCAGCCTGAACAATATGGTGAAACTTCATCTCTTCTAAAATTATAAAAATTAGCAGGGCATGGTGGTATGTGCCTGTAGTCCCAGCTACTTGGGTGGCTGAGGCAGGAAAATCACTTGAACCTGGGAGGTGGAGGTTGCAGTGAGCCGAGATTGTGCCATTGCATTCTAGCCTGGGCGACAGAGAGAGACTCTATCTCAAAAAATAATAATAAAATAAAATAAATAAATAAAATTGAGGCATTTTACATAAAAATCTGGATTTCCAGGCTGCCTTGAAAAATTACTTTTTCCACTTTCTGGTTTGAGACCCTGTGGTAGACTCACAGCCTAGTGTGGACTCGTGGTGGGGTTCAGGAGATTTCCGTGCTTCTCAAACTCCGAACTCCGTATTGCTTGGCGTCCCACGGGAGTTGAATGAGGGGCTGGGACCAGTGTAGATTCCAGTGGGTAGAGGAGCAAAAGCTCTGCCACTGTGTAGGAAGGGTCGGGAAGGGCCAGCCTAACTGCTTAATAAATCAGAGTGGATGGGGGAGGAAACTGACTGGCAGTCTGGAGGTCTGGCTTCTGGGTTCAGATCTTTAGGCTTCATTTCTGAATATGTGAAATGAACGCAGCTGGACATAGATCTAAAGATGTCTGTGATTGCAAATTTCTGTGAACTGATGAAAGGAATGCAGATTTCAGTAACAACAGTTTTGATATGCAATGTAAAAATTGCAGTACCCTGAGAAATGTTGAGAACTTTTGATTTGGTAATACTACTTCTAAGAATAAACCTGAGGAAGTAATATTTAAATTATATACATCTGTGATCTCCAAGCTCACTGCAGCAATTACAGAAAAAATTCTCCAAGAACCATGATGGCAAAAGCTAAGAAAATGGCTAAATAAACACAGTTAACTTCATGAAAAGAATATTTTAAAACTATATTTATGTTAATAAGGGAGCCATATTCCTTTATTATATTAATGTGTTAAGTCAAAAAAATGTTAAATCTGGCCAGGTGTGGTAGCTCACACCTGTAATCCTTGTACTTTGGGAGGCCAAGGCAGGCGGATCACTTGAGGTCAGGAGTTCGAGCCCAGACTGGCCAATATGGTGAAACCCCATCTCTACCAAAAACACAAAAAAATTAGCCAGGTGTGGTGGCGTGTGCCTGTGGTCCCAGCTACTTGGGAGGCTGAGGCAGGAGAATCGCTTGAACCCAGGAGGCAGAGGTTGCAGTGAGGTGAGATCATGGCACTGCACTCCAGCCTGGGCAACAGAGGAAGATTCTGCCTCAAAAAGAAAAAAAAAGGAAAATTTTAAGAAAATACTCAAACATTAAAAGATATTTCCCACTTTTCTATTAAAAAAAAGAAAGAAAAGAAAAATTAGCAAATCTGGCCATACTGTGTGGCATAGATTGGCTGGAGCTGAGGAAGCCTGCTTGCTTACAATGGGACATGCACTGTCCAGTCTGCCACAGTCCCCACCACTCCCTGTTGTCTCTGATCCTAAAGCCAGTGTCAGTTGATGGTGATCATCACGTTTGTGCTGCCATTTTTCTTACAGTAATACTCCTTTGTCTCACAAATGTATCAAAGAGAAAAGGAAAGAGTAGACCAGAAAGGCCCCTGAACTTCCTTATACCTGCCACCACTTCACAGGCTTCCATCACCACCTGGTTGCTACAGCATCTGAGTTTACCTTGGAGCCCGCCATCCTTTTAAGCTCATCTGAAACCTCTTTCCTAAAATTATCCCTGCCATTTATAAGAACTCCTTGCATTTATATTTCCCTTCACGTTCACAAAGCACTGCCAGCCACAGGAGGTCATTCAATTCTTCCAGCCACCCAAGAGGAACGTATTATTTCCTTCATTCTAGAGAATTGAATCTGGAAGATGAAGTGATTTTACCCAAGGACACAGCTGGTTAATGTCAGAGCAAAGTCCTTCTTGCCTCTGAGTCCATTTTTTCCATTACTCTAGCAAACAGTATGTCTGAACTTTCAGTTGCAAAAGACAGAAAGTTAACTGAAACTGGCTTAAGCCAAAAAAGGCAATTGATTCGATTACGTAACTGGAAATCCGTAGAAGCCATGGACTTCAATACAACTGGCTGGAGAAGCTCCAAGGTTTCCCTCAGGGTGGTCACACTTCCTCCATCTCTCAGCTATTCCCTTTACCGTGTTGGCTTTATTTCCCAGTATCCTCTCTCTGCTCCTGATAGAAAAGCAGCCACCAGCAGCTCCAGGCTTCATCCTTATAGCTCCAAATCCAATGGAGAGAGAGTTTCCCTTTCTAGGCAGGCCCCACAGATGGAACAGAGTCTCCTTGGTCTTGATTGGCCTGATCTAGTCATGTGCCCAGCTGTGAGCCAATCACTGGTGGGAGGGATTGACCAGAGTTGGGTCATGTGACCACCTGGAACCGAGGGGTAGGGTTAGCTGCACCCAAGCAGGAGCTGAGGGCTGATGGTGGGGAAGGAATGACTCCTCCAAAGGAAAGCCAGGTGCTCTTCTCAGAAGTGGGGAATGAGGCCGGAACGGTACCTCACGCCTTTAATCCCAGCACTTTCGGAGGCCGAAGTGGGCGGGTCACCTGAGGTCAGGAGTTCAAGACCAGCCTGGCCAATATGGTGAAACCCCGTCTCTACTAAAAATTCAAAAATTAGCCGGGCCTGGTGGCGCGCGCCTTCCCAGCTACTCGGGAGGCTGAGGCACGAGAATCACTTGAACCCCAGAGGTGGAGGTTGCAGTAAAACGAGATCTCACCACTGCACTCAAGCCTGGGTGACAGAGCGAGACTCCATCTTAAAAAAAAAAAAAGAAAAAGAAAAAGGAAAAAAAAAGAAGTGAGGAATGAATGCTGAATAAGTCAAAGAACCAGATATCTACAATACCTGCAATCTTCCTGGTGCAGGCCCTTCTGCTCTGTGGAAGCCATCCTTATTCCCTCTTTCTCCATTCAGGTTGCCCAAGTCAAGTCTCCCACATCTAACTGCTCTGAACTCCAGTGAACTTGTTCTTCTGGGTACTCTCAGTGCAGTGAGAATCTGAACCGCACACACCAGCACTCAGCTCTATAGCTGTGGACTGAATGAAAGAATGAGGAGATAATTTGTGTGAATTGTGATAATTAGAAAACAGTACCAAATTTGAAAGGAAACAAAATGTTAGTGTGGTTCTCTCTGAGTGGTAGGAGTATGAGCGATTCTGGCTTTGTTTCCGTATTCCTTTCTGTATTTTCTACCATGAAGAAACACTATAAACGATAATAGCAAAAAGGAAGTAATGCCAGTCTGGCTTAAACAGCTGGCCTATAAGCAATGTGAGGGCAAGGGCCAAGTGTTGATTCTGTGCTATTCCTAACTCCCAGCAGCAGGGCACACGGTGTCAGAGCTCCTTAGAGCCTGCTGGGAGCTAAATTCACAGCATCAGGGCTTCAGAGACTTTTGGTCCCCTTCCCAAAAGCCAGCCCCCGCCAAGTTCTTCTTTCAAATTCTCTGAACCTCAATTTTGTGTGGTGTCCTCCCTCCTCCTTGTAGTTATGTGCTTCATGGAGGGCAGATACCAGCCCCAAGCCCTGCAGTAGAGAAAGAATCCTCTAGTGAATCGGTCTATGCCAGGGTTTCTCACCTTCCAACACTGCTGACATTTTAGGCCAGGTAAGGCCAGGCGCAGTGGCTCACGCAAGGATTCCCAGCACTTTGGAAGGCCAAGGTGAAAGGATTGCTTGAAGCCAGGAGTTCAAGACCAGCCTGGGCAACATAGCGAGACCCCTGTCTCACAAAAAATCTAATCTCATCAAATTTTCTGCTTCCACTGGGCCTCGTTCATTTCTCAAGCTCTGTTTACAAATATGTCATCTCTGGTTTTATAAGACAGTGACAGTAATAAAGACAGCTACCCCCAAAACACAATTTTAAATAGGATATTGGTTCAACAACTTTATAAAAGGAAAGACTGGGGAGATTCAAGGAGGAGAAGGAAGAGGAGAAATACTACAGAGGAATCCACTTAAATGAAAATCTGATGTAGGGACAGCCAAGTAGTAGCAATATTTCAAATCACAGTTTACGTGGTAGTCTATACCTAAGAAGAGAAAGAAAAACTTTTTTAAAAAGCCAAATAATTCTTTGCTGTGGGGCTGTCCTGCATCGTAAGATTTTAGCAGCATCCCTGGCCTCTACTCAGTAGCTGCTAGTAGTATCCTGCCCTCAGTTGTGGCAATCAAAAATGTGAGCAGACAGTACCAAATGTCCCCTCCAGGATAAAATCACCGCTGGTTGAGATCCAGAGGCCTAAGCCTTCATGTCAATCTCATTCCCTGGCTAGTGATTGGTTTAGGCAGGGCCACGTGATCCATTTCTGGCCAATGAGATGTGAGAGCAAATCAGCTGGGGTGGGTAGTTCCTTTTATAAAGAGACACAAGGAAGAGGCCTTTTATCTTCCTTTGGGTGTTGCCCCCTTGTGGCTGCCATGCTTGGGAATGCAGTTGCCATCTTGTATCCATGAGGGGGACTCACACTAAAGGGCACTTTTGCCCATCGTGATGAAGGTGAAAAAATGGAGAGAAGCTGCTGCTGTTGTTTAGTAGCTACCTTTGCTACCTTGCAGTTTACTTGTTAGGTGAGGTGGAAATTTTCCTAATGTTTACGTGTTTAAGCTAATTTGAGTTGCACTTTTCTGTTACAGCATCTTATCCAACCCAGGAGTCTGTTGATGACATAGCACACACAAACAGATCAAAACAACAAACAAGGCCGAGCGCGGTGGCTCACACCTGTAATCCCAGTACTTTGGGAGGCCGCGGTAGGAAGATCACCTGAGGTCAGGAGTTCCAGACCAGCCTGGCCAATATGGTGAAACCCCTGTCTCTACTAAAAATACAAAAATTAGCCAGGCATGGTGGCGGGCGCCTGTAATCCCAGCTACTCGGGAGGCTGAGGCAGGAGAATCTCTTGAACCTGGGAGGCGGAGGTTGCAGTGAGCTGAGATCGTGCCGCTGCACTCTAGCCTGGGTGACAAGAGCAAAATTCTGTCTAAAAAAAAAAAAAATTTATGGTAGTGCACGCCTGTAGTCCAGCTACTCGGGAGGCTGAGGCAGAAGAATCACTTGAATCTGGGAGGTGGAAGTTTCAGTGAGCTGAGATCGTGCCACTGCACTCCAGCCTGGGCGACAGAGCGAGACTCCATCTCAAAACAAAAACAAAAACTATAACAACAAACAAACAACAACGTCAAAAGACCATCAAAACCAGTGATTGGATGTTTGGGGTGTGGATATCAGAATCTGGAGTTGGGGACAGGTGTGTCATTTGATAGTCCTTTTTGAGAACCACTGTCTATGTAAAGCTATTCCAGTTTCCTATGGGATTGCTAATAATGGTGTGGCTGCTGAGACAGGGAAAGGGGCTTAATTCCTTTTCCAAAACAAGGAGCAATATTTGGATGAGCACTCACTCACTACATTTCATCACATAAAAACTGCAGAACGCCAGGTTCTGTTGTTAAGCTAATATTTCTGGGAGTCAACCAGTCTGTAAGATGGAGCTGATTGTGAATATGCTAGTGCCGGGTGCAGTGGCTCACTGCTGTAAATCCCAGTTACTTGGGAGGCCAAGGTGGGAGGATCACTTGAAGCCAGGAGTTTGAGGCCAGCCTGGGCAACATAGTGAGACCCTGTTGCTAAAATAAATAAATAAAACCTGAAGAGGAGGGGCTTGGTGGCTCACGCCTGTAATCCCAGCATTGTGGGAGGCTGAGGCAGGTGTATCAACTGATGTCAGGAGTTTGAGACCAGCCTGGCCAACATGGTGAAACCTTGTCTCTACTAAAAATACAAAAATTAGCCAGGCGTGGTGGCTCTTGCCTGTAGTCCCACCTACTCGGGAGGCTGAGGCCTGAGAATCGCTTGAACCCAGGAGGTGGAGGTTGCACTGAGCCGAGATTGCGCCACTGCACTCCAGCCTAGGTGTCAGAGCAAGACTCTGTCTCAAAACAAACAAACAATCAAACAAACAAAAAAACACCTGGAGAAAAAAAAGAACAAGAAAATGCTAAGCCAAATGACATAACCTCTAGAGGCCACTGTTTGCTCACCTGTAAACTGGAGGAGAATAAGATGAGAATTCTGATATTGAGGATCAGAAAGTGCTTCATGAACCATAAAGCAGGTAATGGATTATCGATGCCATGCAGCCCAGACATACAGCAATGTGTTCATACCATTCTGATAGTCTAAATTTAGGATGTGGTGTGACCAAAATTACCGGTTAAGTTTCTTATGCTTCTGAGGCTCTACTTCCTCATCTGTGCACTGTGGCAAGACCTTATTCTGACTATGCGCTGAGGATAAAATAAGGCTCTTTGAAAAAGAGTGACACAGACCACTAACTAATTATTTAAATGTTCTTGTCCAAGGCCAGACAAAAGCAACGCAGATCCATAGAGAATGTTGGTGCATCACTGCCCTCTGCTGGTCAGTAGCAGTACCACCATGGTTTCAGAGAGGAAAGGGTCTTTACAAAGGGATTCCTGGAAAACTGAGGCACAGAGAGGGGAAGAGATTTGCTCAAGGGCACAGAGTTAGCTTTGGACAAAGTGAAGTCCAAATTTGAGATTCCTGATCCCTAGCTCTTTCTAGAGGGAGAAAAATAAGGCTGGAAACTCGTTGATTTTGATTTCACTCTCACTAGGCTCTGCACAGCATTTCTTTCTTTTCTTTTCTTTTCTTTTTTTTTTTTTTTTTGAGACAGAGTCTTGCTCTGTTGCCCAGGCTGGCATGCAGTGGCATGATCTCGGCGCACTGCAACCTCTGCCTCCCAGGTTCAAGCAATTCTCCTGCCTCAGCCTCCCGAGTAGCTGGGATTACAGGCGCCCGCCACCATGCCTGGCTAATTTTTGTATTTTTAGTAGAGATGGGGTTTCACCATATTGGCCAGGCTGGAATTGAACTACTGACCTTGTGATTTGCCCGCCTCAGCCTCCCAAAGTGTTGGGATTACAAGTGTGAGCCACTGTGCCCAGCTCTGCATGGCGTTTCTAAATAGCCTGATTGGAATTTCTCTCTCCTGGTCTTCCTTTGCCACCCAAACTGCTCGGGTTTCTTGTCCTTTTTTTTTTTTTTTTTTTTTTTTTGAGACAGAGTCTCACTGTGTCGCCCAGGCTGGAGTGCAGTGGAGTGATATCAGCTCACTGCAACCTCCGCCTCCTGGGTTCAAGTTATTCTGCCTCAGCCTCCAGAGTAGCTGGGATTACAGGCGTGTGCCACCACGCCTGGTTAATTTTTGTATTTTTAGTAGAGACAGGTTTTTGCCATGTTGGCCAGGCTGGTCTCGAACTCCTGACCTCAAGTGATCCACCCGCCTCGGCCTCCCAAAGTGCTGGAATTACTGGCATGAGCCACTGTGCCTGGCCTTTTGTCCTTTTTTTCATAGCTGGATAACTACTGCGGCCCCATAAGGCCCAAAGTCCTCTTGGGTGCTAGGTGCTTTACGAAAATTATCTTGGATTCTTACAACTACTTTGTAAGTTAGGCCAGGAAACTAAAGCTCAGACAGGTTAAGACACTCGCCGGAGGTCCAACAGCCAATAAAGCACAGAAGCTGGGATCTGAGCACTCACTTGAGACGCCCCCCAAGGCCCACAATCTATTCGCCACCAAAAAACAAAACAAAGCAAAACACTGTGGTAATTTGTGTTGAAGATGATCTATTTAAAATAATCTTGTGTTTTTTGATTGCCCCGAATCATATTTGCTGGGCAGACACACGATGAAGCCATAGTGGAGGGAAGACTTTTTTTTTTGAGACGGAGTTTCACCCTTGTTGCCCAGGCTGGAGTGCAATGGCATGATCTCGGCTCACTGCAACCTCCGCCTCCCGGGTTCAAGCGATTCTCCTGCCTCAGCCTCCCTGAATAGCTGGGATTACAGGCATGCGCCACCACCCCGGCTAATTTTGTATTTTTAGTAGAGACGGGGTTTCTCCATGTTGGTCAGGCTGGTCTTGAACTTCTGACCTCAGATGATCCACCCGCCTCGGCCTCCCAAAGTGCTGGGATTACAGTCGTGAGTCACCATGTCTGACCAGGAATACTTTTTTTTTGAGCACCTGTCACGTGCTGGTGATACTCACTTGCGTTATCTCTGTTAATTCTCCTGTTGACACAATATGATCTTGAATCCTGTCCACAATATTGAGGCACAGATGAAGAAATTAGTTCAAAGAGGTTAAGACATTTGCCCAAGGTCATTCGGTGAAAGCTGGGATTCAGACTCTAATCTCCCTGCTTGATGTTAGAATCTAAGTAATTATGCTTTTTTTTTTTTTTTGAGATGGAGTTTCTCTCTCGTTGCCCAGGCTGGAGTGCAATGGTGCAATCTCGCCTCACTTGAACCTCTTCTGTCTCAGCCTCCTGAGTAGCTGGGATTACAGGTGCCCGCCACTACACCCGGCTAATTTTTTGCATTTTTAGTAGAGATGGGGTTTCACCATGTTGGCCAGGCTGGTTAAATTATGCTTTTAAAAACATAGATAGGGGAAAACATAGGGAGGCAGTCAGGATGGACCACAGGCTTCCCCACCATGAAACCCTTTAGACTCTCTCACAGAAATGAGGGGAACTGAGCCAAGTGCAGTGGCTCATGCCTGTAATCCCAACTTGGGAGGCTGAGGCAGGAGGATCGCTTGAGCACATGAGTTCAAGGCTGCAGTGAGCCATGATTGTGCCACTGCATTCCAGCCCGGGCAACAGAGTGAGACTCTAACTCAAAAGAAAAGAAAAGAAAGAGGAAAGGAAGAGGAAAGGGAGGGGAGAGGAGCAGGGGAGGGAATGGGAGGGGAGAAGCGAAGCAAAGCTGGGCGCAGCGGCTCAGGCCTGTAATCCCAGCACTTTGGGAGGTTGAGGCGGGCATATCACCTGAGGCCGGGAGTTCGAGACCAGCCTGACCAACATGGAGAAACCCAGTCTCTACTGAGAATACAAAATTAGCCAGGCATCGTGGCACATGCCTGTAATCCCAGCTACTCGGGAGGTTGAGGCAGCACAATCGCTTGAACCCAGGAGGTGGAGGTAGCGGTGAGCCGAGATTGCACCATTGCACTCCAGTCTGGGTAACAAGAACGAAACTCTGTCTGAAAAAAAGAAGAGGGGCCAGGCATGGTGGCTGATGCCTGTAATCCTAGCACTTTGGGAGGCCAAGGCAGGCACATCACTTGACCCTAAGAGTTTGAGACCAGCCTAGGAAACATGGTGAAACTTGTCTCTACAAAAAATACAAAAATTAGCTGGGCATGGTGGCAGATGCCCTGTAGTCCCAGCTACTTGAGAGGCTGAGGTGGGAGGATCACTGAGCCTGGGGAGTCGAGGCTGCAGTGAGCTATGATCACCCCTCAGGACTGGAAGTCCTCCTAGTCTGGGTTCAAACCCTACATTTGTGAACACTACTGTGTGCCAGGCCCTGGCAAAGCATATGTCTTTTAATTCTCCTGACAACACTGTGAGATTGGTACAGTTATTATCACCATTTTACAGGTGAGCAAACTGAAGCTCTGAGACATTCATTAAGTATCTTGCTTAAGAGCAAGAGCAGTGGGCGAGCCCAGGTGTTGATAATTTGCCACCATTTGTTGGGATGCTTCATGGTCTTATTCCTCCCCATTTGCAGACAGGAAAACAGAGTTACAGACAAATGAAAGTGATTTGCCTCAGGATCTTTGTATTTGCTGTCCTCTCTGCCTGGAATGCTCTTCCCAGTTATCTCCTTGGCTCACCCTCTCACCTTCTTAAGGTCTTCACTTAAAAGTCATCATCTTAGGGAGATCTTTTCTGATCACCCTATTTAAAAGTTTAGGCTGGGCATCATGGCTCACAACTATTAATCCTAGCACTTTGGGAGGCTGAGGCAGGAAGAACACTTGAGACCAGGAGTTTGAGACCAGCCTGGGCAACATGATAAAACCTGGGCTCTATAGAAAATACAAAAATTAGCCTGGTGTGGTGGTACATGCTTGTGGTCCCAGTTACACAAGAGACTGAGGTGGGTGGGAGGATTGCTTGAGCCAAGGAGGTTGAGGCTGCAGTGAGCCATGATTGTGCCACTGCACTCCAGCCTGGGTGATAGAGTGAGACCTTGTCTCAAAAAATAAATAAATAAGGCCGGGCACAGTGGCTCAAGCCTGTAATTTGGGAGCACTTTGGGAGGCCAAGGTGGGTGGATCACCTGAAGTCAAGAGTTCGAGACCAGCCTGGCCAACATGGTGAAACCCTGTCTCTACTAAAAGTACAAAAATTAGCCAGCTGTGGTGGCAGGCGCCTGTAATCCCAGCTACTCAGGAGGCTGAGGCAGGAGAATCACTTGAACCCGGGAGGTGGAGGTTACAGTTAGCCGAGATTGCGCCACTGCACTCCAGCCTGGGCGACAAGAGTGAGACTCTGTTTCAAAAATAATAAATAAATAAATAAATAAAACCCCATGCTTCTAACTCAATGACAAAAAGACAACCCAAGTCACACGTGAGCAAAGGACTTGAATAGACATTTATCTAAGAAGATATACACATGGCCAATGACCACATGAAAAGATGCTTACCACATAATAATTTGTATTAGGGAAACGCCAACCAAACCACATGACATACGACTTCATTTCACTAGGTCGATTATTAGTTTTAAAATGGAGGCCAGACGCGGTGGCTCACGCCTGTAATCCCAGCACTTTGGGAGGCCGAGGTGGGCAGATCACCTGAGGTCAGGAGTTCAAGACAGCCTGGCCAACATGGCGAAACCTGGTCTCTACTAAAAATACAAAAAGTAGCTGGGCGTGGTGGCAGGTCCCTGTAATCCCAGCTACTCAGGAGACACTATAATCACTTGAATCCGGGAGGTGGAGGTTGCAGTGAGCTGAGATCGCACCACTGCACTCCAGCCTGGGTGACACAGCGAGACTCTCTCTCAAAAATAACAAGTATTGGTGAGAAGATAAAGACATTGGAGCCTTTGTATATCACTGATAGGAATGTAAAATGATGCTGCTGCTGTAGAAAACAGTTTGGCCATCCCTCAAAAAGTTAAACATAGAATTACCATATGACACAGCAGTTCCACTCTTAGGTTTTTACCCAAAAGAATTGGAAACAGGGATTCAAACACAAGATTTTTTATTTTTATTTTTTAATTTTTAGTAGAGACGGAGTTTCACTGTGTTGGCCAGGCTAGTCTCGAACTCCTGACCTCAAGCGATCCATCCATCTCAGCCTCCCAAAGTGCTGGGACTACAGGCATGAGCCACTGCACCCAGCCTCAAACAGATACTTGTAACCTGAATGTTCATAGTAGCACTATTCACAATAGCCAAAGATGGAAACAACTCAGATGTCCCTAAACAGATGAATGAATTAAAAAAATGTGGTCTATCCATGCAATTCAATTTTGTTCAGCCATAAAAAGGAATGAAAGGCACATGCTACAACATGAATGAATCTTGAAAACAAGGTGAGCTTCTTGTGAAAGGAGCTAGTGACAGAAGGCCACATAGTGTATGACGCCATTTATGTGAAATATCCAAAAACAGACAAATCCATACAGAGAAAGAAAACTGGTGGTTACCAGGGGCTGCAGGAAGGGGGAATGGAGAGGGACTCCTTAATGGGTATGGGGTTTCCTTCTGGGACAATGAGAATGTTCTGGAACTAGACAGAGATAGTGGTTGCACAACATTGTGAATGAACTAAATGCCACTAAATTGTTCACTTAAAAAAAAAATAGAGGCCGGGCACGGTGGCGCACATCTGTAATCCCAACACTTTGGGAGGCCGAGGCAGGTGGATCACCTGAGGTCAGGAGTTGGAGACCAGCCTGGACTTGAACTCTGGTGAAACTCTGTCTCTACTAAAAAAATACAAAAATTAGCCGAGTGTGGTGGCTCATGCCTGTAGTCCCAGCTACTCGGGAGGCTGAGGCACGAGAATCACTTGAATCCAGGAGGTAAAGGTTGCAGTGAGCTGAGATCACGCCTGTACTCCAGCCTGGGTAACAGAGTGAGACTTGGTCTCAAAACAAACAGACAAACAAACAGTAACAAAAATAGAGATGGTGTCTTGTCATGTTGCCCAGCTGGTCTCCAACTCGTGGGATCAAGCAATCCTCCCGTCCCAGCCTCCCAAAGTACTGGGATTATAGGCCTGAGCCCGCGCACCAGCAAATTGTTCACTTTTAAATGGTTAATTTCATGTTATGTGAATTTCACCTCAATGGAAAAGCTCAACCCCAAACACGCCTTATCTTCCCTCCCTGCCTGATTTTTCTCCTAGTGTACAGGGCTCCTCATATACAGTATGTCCGACTTATGTGTCCATTGTTCATCCTGCTTCTTTAAAATATAAATTCCAACAGGGTAGGGGTTTTGTCTGTTTTATTAATTCACGTATCCCCAAAGAGTCTCTGGTACTCAATAAATATTTGTTGAATAAATGAATTAGATAGGGTGTGGGGATGAAGAGAGTCCCACCACCATCCGCACCCCCATCTCTAATTCTAACCGGCTCCTGTTAATGATGATCCCCAGTCTGGGCTGATTTTCCCCTCCTTTTCCTGAAGAGCAGCATCCACAGGCTCTCGCTCAGCTCAGCCCCTTTATATCCTTCTCTGCTGAGAGTTTGAGATAAAGGGGGCCACAAGATAAGACAATGAATCCATCACAATGTGTGATGAGCTGTCTGCTCTGTGGCTTCCCACAGCAATTTATCATGACCTGGAACCATAGCTGTGAGGCTGGGTGTTCACCCGCCAGGATCTTGCTCCCCAACTGCTTTGGAGGGGGATGTTTACAGGAACTTGTCAATAACCATTTACTGAACAGCTGCTCAGATACAGCCCGGTCCCAGGCACTCAGCCAAACGAAAAATGAACTATATAATCATTCATTCATTTGGTGATTCATTCATTCTGTGATTGATTGATTGATTCATTCATTCATTCATGTGGTTGTCAAACATTCACTGAGCACCTACTATGTACCTTGGACTGTGGTACTTGATTTCAAAGATGTCAACGCATTATAGACCAGGATTTCTCAGCCTAGGCACTGTGGACTTTTGTTTTGTTTTGTTTTTTGTTTGTTTTTGTTGTTTTTGAGACAGGGTTTCACTCTATGGCCCAGGCTGGAGTGCAGTACACGATCATGGCTCACTGCAGCCTCAACCTCCTGGGCTGAAGCTATCTTCCCACCTCAGCCTCTCAAGTAGCTGTGACTACAGGCACACACCACCATGCCCGGCTAATTTTTTTGTATTTTCTGTAGAGATAGGGTCTCCCCATATTGCCTAAGCTGGTTTTGAACTCCTGGGCTCAAGCAATCCTCCTGCCTCGGCCTCCTAAAGTGCTGGGATTACAGGTATGAGCCACTATGCCTGTCCCAGCCACTGTGCATACTGGGACCAGACATTTCTTTGTCACGGGGATTGTCCTATACTTTAGCAGCAACTCTGGCTGTAGATGCCAGTAGCACTCCCTCAGTCATGACAACTAAAATGTCTCCAGACATTGCCAAACGTCTTTGGGGCACACAGTCACCCCTAGTTGAGAATCACTGGTCTAGACAAGTATATCTTCCACAAATTATGAGAGAGAGAAAAAAACGCATTTGTTTGCTGTTCTCTCTCTCTCTCTCTCCCTCTCCCTCTCCCTCTCCCTCTCCCTCTCTCTCTCTCTCTCTCTCTCTCTCTCCCTACTTGCCTACCTATCTAGCTAGTTAAATTGGAAGGCAAGAGCATAATTACAGCTAACATTTGTAAAGGGCACATAATAAGTGGTCATTTTATCTTGGTTATTCTCACAACAAGTCTACGGAGAAAATACCACTAACGCTCATTTTATATATGAAGAAATCAAGGTTCAGAGATGTTAAGCAAGTTGTCCAGGGTCACATGAAGATTAAGCGGCAGAGATGGGGTTCAAATCCAGGTCCATATGACTCCAGAGCACAGGCTCTGCACCACTGCACCACACATTCCCTGGCACAGAGCCTCACACATCATAGTGATCAATAAACATGTATTGCCTGGATGAATGAACACAAGGATGGGGCAAAGATTCTGAGAAAGGCCTGGAGAAGCATAGGCTGCAATTTGGGGACTTGACGTTCTGGAGGAACATGTATTATCTTAATTATTTCCATCCATCAGTCCATCCATCCATCCATCCATCGATCTATCCACTCATTCACCAAGTATTCCCCAAACATCTGAGTTGTGCCTGGCACCTAGGAGGAATTCTGGTTTCAAGATCTCATAGTCAGCTGGGCATGGTGGCTCATGCCTGTACTCCCAGCACTTTGGGAGGCTGAGGCAGACAGATCACTTGAGGTCAGGAGTTTGAGACCAGCTTGGCCAACGTGGTGAAACCCTGTCTCTACAAAAATATAAAAATTAGCCAGGCATGGTGGCATGCACCTGTAGTCCCAGCTACTTGGGAGGCTGAGGCAGGAGAATCGCTTGAACCCGGAAGGCAGAGGTTGCAGTGACCTGAGATCACACCACTGCATTCCAGCCTAGGCGACAGAGTGAGACTCTGTCTCAAAAAAAAAAAAAAAAAAAAAAAAAATTTCTCATAGCCAAAGAGGATCCATGAAATGTGCTCAGCAATAATTGCAACATCAGCTACAAAGTGAGAAGCTATGTTATGAAGGGACACATAGATGCTAGGTTAGCCAAGACTTTTGGTCAAAAGTGAAAAAGTGATAGGCATGCCTGCTCCAATTGGTTTAAGCAATAAAGGGAGGTTACCGGTACCTAAATCTAGTCGAGGTTGCAGGTATGGCTTGATCAGGGTGTTCAAATGATGTCGTCAGAAATCCCTCCATCATTTCCCTCTGGTTTCCTCTAAGTCAACTTCATTCCCTGCTGGCATGATGGCCACCAAGAGCTTTAGGCACATAACCTGCCAGCTTAGCAACTCCAGCTCAAAGAGCACCACTTTTTCAATGATTTTAGCCAAAATTCCAAGACTCATATTAGACCAACCTGAATCATGTGCCTGCTCTTGAACAAAGCACAGTAGCCAGGAGAAAATATGCTTTGATTGTCTAGGACTGTGTCCTGGACCCACCCCTGGGACTTGTGGATGGGGACAGCTTGACCTAAGCCATATCAACTGAAAACATAGGAAGCATGGTGCTACCAAGAGATGTCTATTCCAGGTATGGTGGAGCCTCAGAGGAGAGCATAACTCTCTTTCAGCTGGTGGATCAGGGAAGGCTGATCCACCCTGTCCACCCTGGTCCAATAAGCCACAGCTATAGATATGAAGGTCTGTTGCGTTCAGGTTGAGCTAGAGGGGGAGGTTGGGCATGGCAGAAAAAAATCTATCCATCTCTGCTACAGTTAAATATTTGAATATTGAATTGTTTGTGGATCTTGTGAAATCAGTGACCTCTGAGGTCATCTAGGGACCCAGCACATTCCTACAGGACACAACCTAGCACCTGGTCAGAGCAATAGTTCATACCTGAGACCCTGAACTTTCAGACCCTCCCCTAGCCCCCACCAGCCTCTGTCAGTGCCAAGCTGGACAGAACAAACCACATGAGGTTGGTTGGGCCTCTTTCCCTCGGAAAAATGCAGAATGGTCATTTTTTGCCTGTACCTTCCCAGACAAATAAATTCTCTTCTGGGAGCTTTTTCCTGGCTGAGCTATGTTATACGTTTCATAGCCGCCCAGATCCCCTGGGAACCCAGAGTTCCTTCCACGTGTAGGACAGGCTAGTCATTCAGTTCCAGGTCAGAGGACTGTTTCATTTGTACTGGTGGCAGGAATTCTTGGTTGTCCTCAATTTGGTTGTCCTGATTTTCGGTGGGGAACATGGTCAACAGAATAAGGACTGCATTTCCCACCTTCTACTGCAGGTAGGTGTGACTGCATGACTAAGCTCCGGCCAATGACCAGCAAGTGGCAGTGATAGATCATGCCCTTCAAGGGAGGAACATGCCCCTTCTTTCTCCTTTCCTTTTTCTTCCAGCCTTCTGTTTAGAATTGAGTCCTGGTGGGAACCACTTAGGACCATGCTGATGAGGGTAACACCATATAGATGGCAGAGCTGGGGCTGGGCGTGGTGGCTCATGTTTGCTTTCCCACCACTCTGGGAGGCCAAGGTGGGAGGATTGCTCGAGCCCAGGAGTTTGAGACCAGCCTGGGCAACATAGGATAACCTCGTCTCTGCAAATAAACTCCTGGCTCAAGCAATCTTCCGACCTCAGCCTCCCAAGTAGCTGGGCTACAAGCACACACTACCATGCCTGGCTAATTTAAAATCTTCTTTATTTTTTTAGAGATGGGGTCTTGCTATGCTGCCCAGGCTGGTCTTGAACTCCTGGACTCAAGAGATCCTCCTGCCTTGGCCTCCCAAAAGTGCTGGGATTGCAGGCATGAGCCACTGTGCCTGGCTCATATTCTCAATAGAGAGGTCCCAATTGACCACTGGCCAGCCAATAGTCTGGCTCTCCTGGGCAGATGTTCACCCTGGTACAATAAGCCACAGCTATGGATATGAAGGTCTGTTGATTTCAGGTTGAGCTAGAGGGGGAAGTTGGGCATGGCAGAAAAGCCTATCAATCTCTGCTATAATTAAATATTTGAATATTGGATTACTGAACCTGGGCATAGAGTAGCCACTGTCCTTGTCTTCTAAGAGCTTATATCCTATTACTATTTTATTATTATTAATGACATATCATTGTTAATTAATAGCTTCAGTTCACTAAACATTATTAGGTGCCAGGCATGGTGCTTATGATTAGTCATCTCATTGAATTCCCTTAATGAAAATTAGTCAATCAGAGACCTTTCTTCACAGATCGCAACCTCAGGGATGTTTGGGATTTCAGAGATGTGTTTTGGGGAAAGAAGTATAATTATTCAACTTTCACTTAATCAGAGAAGCTAAGTGGTAGGTGGAGTTGTAAAGGAAGGCAAAGAACTGGGCAGGCAGATGCTAAGTGGGAGACTGTTCCAGGCATAAGAGAAATGGGGGTGGGTATGAAAAAAAGCGAGAGAGCGAGTGAGAGCCAAGGGAAATTTGGTTTGACTGGATAAAAAGGCCAGTGAAAAGAGGGAGTTTTGGTAAGAGCTATGCATGGGCAGGGAGAAGTACACAGATCTTCAATCACAGACTCTACCACCATCCCCTCTCCTCTTCCTGCAGGTGGGCAGAGCCAAGGTGCTGTCCCTACCCCTTCTTCCTGGGGCCTCCAGAGATCCTGAGCTCACCCTCCTGACCTGCCTGTCGGTTCTGGCCCTCACGTCCTGTTTGCTGTACCTACTTTATCCCATGTCACCATCTCCATGCCCCAGCCTGGTGACAATCCCACTTCCTACCCATTCCATTGGCTTCTCCATTTGACTTGGAGCTCTTCAGCTGGATCGAGACAACTACTCTGATGAATGCCACGTCACTGGGTCAACAGAATGGGCCCAAGTGAGTCAATATCATTGACATGAAGGTGCTGTCAGTTTGGTGGGGGCTGAGGGAATGAGACTGTGTTTTAGCTGTGTTCGTTTGATTGTGAGGAATAGACGGTCACACACTGAGGGCTTAGTATACAGATGCTCAGAGAGAAATACGGAAGACGAGATCTCGTAGAAAACAAGAGGAGATGTTGTAAATGAGTCAGGCTTCCTGGAGTCCAGGACTAGGGAGGAACTCTCTATTGAAGACCACTCTAGGGAATCTTCATGCTGAAGTCCCACATTCAGTTCCTCTCTTCCTTCTCTTGGTCTCTCTGCTTCTGCTTTTTATCTCATGTCCTAAATGTCCAACTATTCAGCATAACTTTACTCTGCTTCCCCTCTCCATGCTCTGTAGCAAAATGCCCTGTTGGAATTAAATTAAAAATTTTTATCTCTGCTTTAGCAAGAGAGATGGTGACTTGCTGATGCAAGGAAGGTATTTCTCCTTCCAAGAGCGATGTATTCAGCTTTTGGGTTAAAAAGGAGATGCTGTCAGGCACAGGTGGTTATCTGGGTAGATTACATAAAAACACACAAGAAATGCTCTTTGTGTTAAAAGAAGAAAAAAGAAAAAACAAAACTTGGCCAGGCACAGTGGCTCACACCTATAATCCCAGAACTTTGGGAGGCCAAGGCGGGCGGATTGCTTAAGGTCAGGAGTTCGAGACCAGCCTGGCCAACATGGCAAAACCCCATCTCTACCAAAAATACAAAAATTAGCCAGGTGTGGTGGCACACTCCTGTAATCCCAGCTACTCAGGAGGCTGAGGCATGAGAATCGCTTGAACCTGGGAGGCAGAGGTTGCAGTGAGCCAAGATCACGCCTCTGCACTCCAGCCTGGGCTACAGAACTAGACTCTGTCTCAAAAAAAAAAACCCAAAAAAACCTTGTTTCCTCAAAAACTTAAATATAGAATTACCACAAGACCCAGCAATTCTACTACTGGCTATATCTCCAAAGAATCGAAAGCAGAAACATGAACAGGAATTTGCAGAACCATGTTTATAGCAGCATTATCCCCAGTGAGCCGAGATTGTGCCGCTGCACTCTGGCCTGGGCAAGAGAGCGAGACTCTGTCTCAAAAAATAAAAATAAAAAATAAAAAAAGAAGTCCCAAAGTAGGGTAGCTCCTGAATTAGTTAACTCAATTGTTCGAACCAAGTTCTTACCATCATTCTGCTCTGCCATCCAGAGCATGTCATTTCAGAAAGACCATCTCTTCTCGCATCTGTTTCTTAGGAATGACTCCTTCCTTCTTTCCTTCCTTCCTGCCTTCTTGCCTTCTTTCCTTCCTTTCCTCTGTCCCTCCCTCCTTCCTTCCTTGACAGGATCTCAGTCTGTCAGACAGGCTGGAGTGCAGTGATGTGTTCATAGCTGATTGCAACCTTAGACTCCTGCACTCAAGTGATCCTCCCACCTCAGCCTCCCAAGTAGCTGCGACAACAGGCATGCACCACCACGCCTGGCTAATTTAAAAATTTTTTATAGACAGGTCTCACTATCAGCCCAGACTGATCTCAAACTCCTGAGCTCAAGCAATCCTCCCATCTCAGCCTCCCAAAGTGCTGAGATTACAGGTTTGAGCCAGTAAGCCCGGCCCCTACGTCTTTCTTTAGAAGCCCCACAACAAATTTCCTCTTGTGTTTCATAGCCATACACTTGTTTTCATACCCATTCCTACACCAGTCACCCACAAGTAGAATGGGACTAACATGATATTCCTGAATTGGGGATGATGTTGTCTTTCTCAAGAGTTTAAAACCTGAATAAAATTGGGGATTCTGTTAACAAGGAAAATAGAATGGTTTGTTTGTTTGTTTGTTTGTTTGTTTATAGAGGGGGTCTCACTCAGCACTCACTGCAGCCTCCACCTCCTGGGCTCAAATGATCCCCCACCAACTGCCACCCAGCTTCCAGAGTAGCTGGGACCGTAGGTGCATGCCACCATACCTGGCTATTTTTTCTTTTTCTTTTTTTTTTGTTTGAGATAGAGTCTCGCTCTGTCACCCAGGCTAGAGTGCAGTGGTGCAATCTCGATTCACTGCAGGCTCTGCAGTGAATGGGTATGAAAACAAGTGTATGGCTATGAAACACGAGAGGAAATTTGTTGTGGGGCTTCTAAAGAAAGATGTAGGGGCCAGGCCTACTGGCTCAAACCTGTAATCTCAGCACTTTGGGAGGCTGAGATGGGAGGATTGCTTGAGCTCATGAGTTCGAGATCAGCCTGGGCTGATACAGTGAGACCTGTCTAGAACTCCCGGGTTCAAGCGATTCTCCTGCCCCAGCCTCCCGAGTAGCTGGAATTACAGGCGCCCACCACCACACCCAACTAATTTTTTGTATTTTTAGTAGGGACGGAGTTTGGCCATGTTGGCCAGGTTGGTCTCAAACTCCTGGCCTCAGGTGATCCACCTACCTCAGCCTCCCAAAGTGCTGGGATTACAGGCATGAGCCACCACGCCCTGCCTCCACCTGGCTATATTTTCTATTTTTTATAGAGAAAAGGGGTCTCATTATGTTGCCCAGGCTGATCTTGAACTCCTGGGCTCGAGGGATCCTCCTGCCTCCCAAAGTGCTGGGATTTCAGGCATGAGCTCCCATGCCCCACTTAGAATGAATTTTGAATGGGCAATTAAGAGTGTCTGCTACACCCCTGAGACTGACAAGCTCTCGGGATTAATGGACACGTGGGAAGGACTGTTTCAAGCGTGCTTCTATTACCAACTAGCAAGTGAGGGGTATGAGTTCCCAAATTCTGGGTCAAAGGTGGCTCACTTACAGATTCTCATTCCAGCCTGTGAGATGGAGTAAAGGAAGAGTGGGGCGTGCTCTTTATTTTTAAGGTCATGACCTCTGCACAAACAGTTCCCTCTACTTCCTGCCCTAAGTAAGCCCTGGCTCTTCCCTGATAGTCCTTGAAGCCCTTACCAGGGAATGGTGGTCCTTCTCCCAACCCCATGGTGTCCTCTGTCCTCCACACCTCTATTACTAGATCCATAGTCCTCCATCTTGAGTAAGTGCTGAGGCTCCTGGCATCTGGCTGTACCACCTTCTGTGCCCTCTCATTGATGATGCCTACTCATCAATCAGTCAACCAACCTATCAACCCTTATTCTCAAAGGGCTTTGGCAACTGGCTTATCCTTCTCACCCCAGTTCCTACTGCCATACTGGTGACTTTAATGACCTAGGACCTGGCCGAACTCCTGGCCCCTCAGCTCCTGTCCCTTCTTATTCCAATGACCTTCACCTCCACTCTGCTTTAGCCACCATTTCCCTGGACCATGTCCTGGACCTTGGTTTCTCCTGGAAAAAATCTTCCTCTAAAGTCTCACATTTCTCTGATCACAGGCTTGCACCTTCTGTTCTTTTGGTCATTCCAGCTTAGCAGTTCTTTGAACTACAGAATCCCTTGGCCCTTCCACTTTCTCCCTCTCAGGACCCTCCTTCCTCCAATTCCTTTCCCATCCAGCCTAGATTCCATGATCTTTGCTATATCCAGGCATGGATGTTGTGAACGACTCCCCGACATCCATTCCAACCCAGATGGTTGGTCCAAGCAGGTCATGGTCATTCCCTGTCTTTTGTCAGGAGAGGAACAGGCGTGTGACTCACTTCTAGCACTAGAGGGTAGAGTGAGGTGGGACGAAAGGGACTCTGGGAAAGATTTTCCCATGAAAGAGACAAAAGAATTGATTATCTTTCTTTCTGAGGACGAACCCAACAACAAGGGTGGCAGTACAGAGAGAAAGAAAGAACCCAGATCCTTGACTATGTTGTCAAGCCACTAAATCAACACACTCTGAAGCTTATCTTGCCCCAGGATATCCTAGTACATGAAATAACCATTTATTTCATATTTAAGCCAGCTTGAGTCAGGCATTCTGCTACTTTCACACAAAAGCACCCTAAATAACATAATTTGCAACTTGTGGCAAAAGCCCAGTCCTGGATCAATGTAAATTTCCTTCCATGATGTTTATACCTGTTCTGGTTAGACTGGTGGAGAAGACAACAGGTCCTCAGTCCTCCAGAAACCTCAGACGTCTCTCTACCCTCCACCATTAGGAGAGCCTTAGTTTTCCTCATCTATCTCCAGCCTTTGTTTAGGGTTGCAGAAGACCTGGGTTGTTATGTAAAATGGCCAGCTATCTTGACTAGGAAACAGGTATTTTTTGAATTTCCCAAGGATAGCATGGGTATTCAGCTTGGGTAGAGAGGAATAGAGGGGAGATCTTGAGGTTTAAATAAACCCAGCATTTATAAGAAGGTAGGGTAGGTATATCCAGATTAAGCTGAGTGAACCAAGTCATTCCCAGTGGCTGAGTTGAGTCAGGGGACAAAGAAAAGCTTTCTGCTCTATGTTGTGGCCTGACAGGGGATGCAAGTCCCAGGAAAGGGTGATCTATGGGCAGAGCAACAGAATCAGCCTTTTGCTGCTGTATCTTGGGCCTGGCTAGTTACAGTCCCAGTAACACATGTTGACACCATAACAAACAGTAGACACCAATGATGACATACCTTAAAATTATGTGAACCACTTGGCAAGTCCTGGTGGGTTGCTGGGTGTGGAGGTGGAAGGCCGTTCCTGTTGGTGGGAAGGCCCCAGGTTGCTCCCATAATCTGTCACTTAGACTGCTGGCAATAACAAATTCATGGTCTCTAATTCTTACCACCACCCGGGAATTCCTGTTTTCCCTGTTGGCGCTCTCCTCCCGTTCACCATAGCAACTATTTTGAATCTTCTTGACACTCATCCCACTTCCCACCCTCTTGCCTTTCCTCTCATTCTCATCAGACAACTCTGCCTCCTATTTCTTTTTCTATTCTTTCCCTCCTTCCTTCCATCCTTCCTTCCTTCCTTTCCTTCCTTCCTTCTTTTTCTTTCTTTCTCTCTTTCTTTTTCTTTTTTTTTTTTTGAGACAGGGTCTTACTCTGTTGCCCAGACTGGGGTGAAGTGGTACAATCATGGCTTACTGCAGTCTTGACCTCCTGAGTTCAAGGTGATCCTCCTACCTCAGCCTCCCAAGTGGCTGGGACTACCCTGCCTCCTATTTCAATATTTGTGTTGAACTCAGGAGTTTGAGACCAGCCTGGCCAACATGGTGAAACCCTGTCTCTACTAAAAAAAATACAAAAATTAGCTGGGGGTGGTGGTGCACGCCTGTAATCCCAGCTACTAAGGAGGCTGAGGCAGGAGAATCCTTTGAACCCAGGAGGTGGAGGTTGCAGTGACCCAAGATCTTGCCACTGCACTCCAGACTGAGCGACAGAGCAAGACTCCATCTCATGGCTCACACCTGTAATCCCAGCACTTTGGGAGGCCGAGGCGGGTGGATCACTTGAGGTCAAGAATTCAAGGCCAGCCTGGCCAACATGGTGAAACCCCATCTCTACTAAAAATACAAAAGTAGCTGAATATGTTGGCACATGCCAATAATCCCAGCTACTTGGGAAGCTGAGGCAGAAGAATTGCTTGAACCCGGGAGGTAGAGGTTGCAGTAAGCCGAGATCGCACCACTGCACTCCAGCCTGGGCAACAAGAGCGAAACTGTGTCTCCAAAAAAAAAAAAAAGAAAAAGGAAAAGAAAATATTTTTTATTTTTATTTTGCTATGTTGTCCAGGCTGGTCTCAAAATCCTGGCCTCAAGTGATCCTCCCACCTCCGCCTCCCAAGTAGCTGGGACTATGGGCGTGAGCACAAGACTTCACACAAAATAGATGCCATCTATCTGATTGGGACTACCCTTACCTTACTTGCTTATTTGCAACTAAACTCACCTTTTCTTCTATCCCACAGATGTTGTAGCACTGTCCAGTTGAACTTTCTACAATGGTAGGCAAGTTCTGTATGTCTTTGCTGTTCAATATGGTAGCCATTAGCTACATGTGGCTATTGAAATACGGCTTGTACAACTGAAGAAGTGAATTTTAAATTTTATTTCATTTTAATTAATTTAAATTGAAGTAGCCACATGGGGTGAGTAGCCACCCTATTAGGCAGCACCAGTTTAGCATAACTAAAAGAAAAACATTTTTAGATACCAAGGCACGGGGGTTTCTGCTAACCCTCTGACATCACTAGGCAATAGACTCTTGATCAACTTATTTTAAGAATTCTGGGCCAGGCACAGTGGCTCATGACTATAATCCCAGCATTTTGGGAGGCCGAGGCAGGGGGATCACCTGAGGTCGGGAGTTCGAGACCAGCCTGACCAACAGGGAGAAACCTCATCTCTACTAAAAATACAAAATTAGCCAGGCGTGGTGGCGCATTCCTATAATCCCAGCTACTTGAGAGGCTGAGGCAGGAGAATCACTTGAACCCAGGAGGCGGGGGTTGCAGTGAGCTGAGACATTGCACTCCACTCCCATGGGCAACAAGAACGAAACTCGGTCTGAAAAGAAAAAGCATTCTGAATTAGGTGATGAGAAGGAAGCAAGAGAGAGTTAAAAAGGCACATTCACTGAGAAATAGCCCTGGAGAAATATAGAGGAAAATAATATTGCTTTGACATGTTGTTTTAGTCATGGCAGTTATCAAGAAAGAAACCACAGTGAACCACGGCTGGAACATTGCACACCCGACAGAGAAGAAAAGCCTTGGCCAGGCACGGTGGCTCACGCCTGTAATCCCAGCACTTTGGGCGGATCACGAGGTCAGGAGATCGAGACCATCCTAGCTAACACGGTGAAACCCCGTCTCTACTAAAAATACAAAAAAATTAGCCAGGCATGGTGGCGGGCGCCTGTAGTCCCAGCTACTTAGGAGGCTGAGGCAGGAGAATGGCGTGAACCTGGGAGGCAGAGCTTGTAGTGAGCCAAGACTGTGCCACTGCACTCCAGCCTGGGCGACAGAGCGAGACTCCATCTCAAGAAAAAAAAGAAAAAAAGAAGAAAAGCCTTGTATCGTGGCTGTAAAGCCCCGCTGGTACGGACATGTTCACAGAGTCTGTGGGAAGAAGTATGGAACACCAGCCAGGTAGAGGAGAGTGAGGTGTCATCATCAGTTGAGTAATTTCAAAGGGTGTCCAGTTATCTTTGTTTGCATTTTCTATCTTTAATGCAAAATGTGTGCAATACAAATAGAATGGTAACTTGCATGTCCCATTTTGTGTAGCTGATTTTGCTCACTTTTGGAGACTCTTGTTGGGGCAGTCCTGGAGAAATAGCTGAGAGAGCAAAACAGCTGAATATTCATTATTTTCTTAAGTGGTCGATAACTGCAAAAGCTCTATGTCATTTCTTAAACAGTTTCTTTCAGTCTCTTTACCTCTAGGTATGCTAGTTTACAAGGACTCTAGATGCCCTGGGAGCTTCAAAATGTTTCACCAATTATCAGAGGAAGGTAAGGCCTGCTGGAAACCAGAGCAAACCAGAATCAGGGACTCCTTGTTATCTTTAGATCATTAACTTATTATTATAATACTAAAATCCCCACCCATAGAAGAAAATTACTATTTTCTGACCATGCATCGTATGAAGACACATGTTTATGGTTTGTGCCTGCGCATCTAAAGTTCCTCCCTGCACAGACTTACAAACCTTTCCACCCCATATCTAACTCTTTAAAATTCTCCAGCTTTCCACAGCTTGGGGAGGAGGAGGTGTTTCTGGAGTGAGAGGTCACTCCTTCTCCTTCTCTGGCCAGAGAATAAATCCAGCTGGCCTTTTTTTTTTTTCCAATTTTGGTGTTCTTTCTTTGCAAGTGATATAAAATAAGGAAAGGACTCAGTTTACCTATGACAGTTCTATCACTTTATATTTTGAAAAGTTACACATCTTTTCAAATCTGTAAAGTTTGAGTACATTTTCCTCTCCCTCGGACCTCCCCTAAATGAGTAGCCAATTGTTTAAAGATCCTATCTGGAGGAATTTATTTCTCCCTTGATTTAAATGTTTTTATCACACACTAAGTTCCTACTTTTTTTTTTTTTTTTTTTTTTTTTTTTTTGCATACAGAGTCTCACTCTGTTGCCCAGGCTGGAGTGCAGTGGCATGAACATGGCTCACTGCAGCCTTGACCTTCCGGGCTCAAGCGATCCTCCCACCTCAGCCTCCCGAGTGGTTGAGACCACAGGCGTGCACCACCACTGGCTGATTTATTTTTATATCTTGTAGAGACAGGGCCTCCCTCTGTTGCCCAGGATGATCTTGAACTCCTGGGCTCAAGCAATCCTGCTGCTTTGGCTGCCCAAAGTGCTGGGATTACAGGTGTGAGCCACCACACCCGGGTTCCACCTATCTTCGTGTTTAATACTTGACTCCATTCTGTTCCAGTAATTTATCTGTCAGGTCCCTTACTAGAGCGGCTTTAATTTCACAGCTTTACCATCGCTCTTAATATCTCCTTGGCCACCGGCTTACTTGTGAAGTGTTCATCCCGTGGCCTCTGGATACTCACTGTCTCCTGGTCTTCCTCTCCTCCCTAGTGCCTCAGCTTAGTCTCCTTGATGTTGGTGTCCTTTAAGGAGCTGTCTTCAGTCCCCCTCCATGTCACTGTACCCTTTCCCTGGGCAGGACCCTGTCTCCACTCTTGCCCTTTCTGCCCATTTTCCAGGGTGCAGCCAGAGTGCTCTGAGTTGCAAATGAGATCATGCCACACCCTTGTTTATAAACCCACTTATTGCTCTCAGGGAAAATTCCAGACAGACTCCTTAACACCAGCACATAACGGCTGGACGAGGTTCAGGTGAATGTAGTTTGTTGGGAGGTGACCCAGGAAGAGGCATGGGGAAGGGAGGCAGGGAAGGGAAGGCAATCGACACAGGAAGCACTAAAGAGCAGGTCACGACCAGGCATGGTGGCTCACGCCTGTAATTCCAGCACTTTGGGAGGCTGAGGTGGTTGGATCACTTGAGGTCAGGAGTTCGTGACCAGCCTGGCCAACATAGTGAAACCTTGTCTCTACTAAAAATACAAAAATTAGCCGGGCGTGGTGGAGGGCGCCTGTAATCCCCACCTACTCGGGGAGGCTGAGGCAGAAGAATCGTTTGAACCCGAGAGGGGAAGGTTGCAGTGAGCCGATGTGGCGCCGCTGCACTGCAACCGGGGCAACAGAGCGAGACTCCATCTCGGGGGTGGGAGCGGAGGGGGGTGGAATTAAAAAAGGAAGGGCAGGTCATCGCTGTGGGCATCTGGGCTCTGTCCCACTAGGGTCCCCTGGAGACTGCCTAGACCTGCCTCAGTGCTGTCCCACCTGAGGGAATTGGGGTATTTAATCAGCAGTCCCCTAGCCTCTATTCTCTGAGAGCTCTCTCTCTTCTTTCTCTCTCTCTCTCTCTCGCTCCTTCCTTTTCTTCTTCCTCCTTTCTCCCTGTCTTCTCCCTTCATGGACGTCAGCGCTTGACGCCATGTTTGTTTGTGGCCCCGCCCACAGCCATAGCTGATTGGACTAGGGATAAATAACTAGGCCAATCATTCCCCTTGAATTCCGGAACTGGATAGTGGATCTGGGCTTGCACTCGAACTGTGGACACCTAACCTTGAAGGCAGTGTTGGACCACGTGCCCTGGGAGAAACAGAGGAATCCATTGTTTACAGAGACTCACAATGGGCGCACAGAGAGACAAACAGAGGCGGGCCCACGCAGTTTCAAACTGAAAGAGCAACTTCAGCTCAGGACAGTTTAGTTTCTGATTCTATTAATAGGTTCTCATGAGGTTGGGCCACATTTCCTGCACTTGAGCTCTGTGAGATAAGTGTTTCCTCAGAAAAACCTCCCTTTTCTGCTGAAGAATGTCACCTGATTTTCTGTAAATTGTAAACACATACACACACATGACTAAGAAATCCACCATTCAATCCCCAATCCCCATTTCTTCACACGTGGCTTCCTACTTCACAAAGAAACAGAGACCACCATTCTCAACATCCCACTTAGTCTATCAAAATCTTTGAATGGCTCAAATGGTTCCATCTTCTCTACATCCTTGCAACACACACACATTTTCCCATGACTCCATTAAAGACCATTCTTACCTCTCTTTCTTTATTTTTTTAGACGGAGTCTCGCTCTGTCACCCAGGCTGGAGTGCAGTGGCGCGATCTCGGCTCAGTGCAACTTTCACCTCCTAGGTTCAAGTGATTCTTCTATCACCCTTCCGAGTAGCTGGGGTTACAGGCGGGCGCCATCACACCCAGCTAATTTTTGTATTTTTAGTAGAGACAGGTTTTGCCATGTTGGCCAGGCTGTTCTTGAACTCCTGATCTCAGGTGATCCACTCGCCTCGGCCTCCCAAAGTGCTGGGATTACAGGCATGAGCCACAGCACCCGGCCTCTTACCTCTTTTTCCTCCTAGCCAAGACTATAGAAGAAATAGTCCATGCCTGTCTCCACTCTCTCCTCTCATTAGTCCTTACTTGCACTGTTTTGTGGGAAAGCGTTTCATTTTGAAGATGTGACTTGAAGTGTCTGTGGGTTATATAGGTTCATAGATTCATAGACTATGCACAGAATTCAGATATGGTCTGGAGATACAGATTTAGCGTTCAGTGATTTAAAAAGTAATGAACGCAGGCCGGGTGCAGTGGCTTACCTGAGGTCGGGAGTTTGAGACCAGCCTGACCAACATGGAGAAACCCTGTCTCTACTAAAAATACAAAAAATTAGCCGGGCATGGTGGCGCATGCCTGTAATCCCAACTACTCGGGAGTCTGAGGCAGGAGAATCGCTTGAACCCGGGAGGCAGAGGTTGCGGTGAGCCTAGATCGCGCCATGGCACTCCAGCCTGGGCAACAAGAGTGAAACTGTCTCAAAAAAAAAAAAAGTAATGAACGCATATGGTAGAAAAAATTCAGATACAAGCAGGGTGATAAATAAATCGTCAAACACCGACTAATTCCCCCAGCCTCAGCTCGCTTCCCAGAGACCACCTTGTATAGCCTTCCAGATGTGCTAGCTTCATGGGCATGGGACCTGTGCAGTCATATAGGGACCCACACTTAGAAGGAATCTGAATTTGTTTAATGCTTTGCTGTCACCATTTTGAAATGTTTAACTTTTAAATAACGGACTTCACATTTTCATTTTGCACTGGGCCTTGCAAATTATATAGTAGATCCTGTTTCCAGTTATATTCCATGCATAATTAAACATATAATATACATATATACCCCCTCCTCCCACCTGCTTCGCATTTAGCATTTGATTATTCTTAAAACAATGTGTGTGGATGAAATTTCCCAGGGAGAAGATGCAATAGTCATTAGCGCTGTTCACCAAATATTTCTGCTTCTGCAGTTTCTGGATACATGGGGGATATATGCGGGAACTGCATTTCCTGGTTCCCTAGTGGTTGGGTAGGACTAAGTGATTAGTTTTGACCAATGAGTAATGAGTAGAAGTGAGTGCATTTCTAGGTCAGAGCTTTTTTTTTTTTTTTTTTTTTTTGGTAACTTTATATTCTTTCCATCACGAGGTCAGAACATTTAATTGCTACTGTGAGACTCTCCATAGTTCTCATTAAAGAGTTCAAGACAGTGGCTGTTCCGTTAGCCTTGATCTCTGAGTGACTACAGAGAGTAGAGCCTTCTGGGAGATCCATGATGGACATGTAGTGTGGGTGAGAATTAAATCATCACTGTTATAAGCCATGAGACTCTGAGAGAGCTTTCTTATTTGAGCATAACCTGTCCTATCCAGATAGGAACATAAAAAGTGCTGAGAGACAATTTGTTGGAACTGAAATTTACAGGGAGAAGAGAGCCAGAGAAAGTTAAGACAAAGGTCGGACGCAGTGGCTCATGCCTGTAATCCCAGTACTTTGGGAGGCTGAGGCAGGAGGATCACTTGAGGCCAGGAGTTTGAGACCAGCCTGGGTAACATAGCAATACCCTATCTCTACAAAATTAAAAAAAAATGGCCAGGCTTGGTGGCATGTGCCTGTGGTCCCAGCTATTCAGGAGGCTGTGGCAGAAGGATCGCTGGAGCCCAGAAGTTTGAGGCGGCAGTGAACTATGATCATGCCACTGCGCTCCAGCCTGGGTGACAGAGCAAGACCCAGTCTCTAAAATAAATAAATTAAATTATTTTTAAAAAAGAAAGATAAGATAAAGAGTCATAGAGGTACAAATGAGAAACCAGGAGAACATGGGACCCAGGAGAGTCATGGAAACCAAGGGAAAAAACTGCTCCAAGAAGCAGAAAGTGGTCAGTGGTGTTGAATGCATCCAAGAGATAAAGTAAAATAAGGACTAAAATATATCAACAAAGTCTGGCTACTGAGAAGTCTTTGGTAACCTCATTGAGAACAGAATCCATGGAGTGGTGGAGGTGGCAATGGTGAAATAGAGGACAAGGGCTGAAGGAGTAGAGAGGGGAGAGCGTGAGGGATCAGTGCAAGAGCTCAGCAGAAAAACAAATAGGCCAGGCGCAGTGGCTCACACCTGTAATCCCAGCACTTTGGTAGGCCGAGGTGGGCGGATCGTTTGAGGCCAGGAGTTTGAGACCAGCCTGGCCAACATGGTGAAACATTGTCTCTACTAAAAACACAAAAATTATCCGGGCATGCTGGTGTGTGCCTGTAATCTCAGCTGCTTGGGAGGCTGGGGTAGGAGAATCTCTTGAACCCAGGAGGCAGAGATGGCAGTAAGCTGAGATCATGCCACTGCACTCCAGCCTGGGCGACAGAATGAGACTCCGTCACAAACAAACAAGCAAAAGAAAGACAAGAAAATAGATGTCTTAGAGTGGTAGCAAGAGCAACACTGAAGTGATTTGCCTATTCTGGACATTTCCTATAAATAGAGTCATAAAAGAAGTATCCTGGTCAGGCATGGTGGCTCACGCCTGTAATTCCAGCACTTTGGGAGGCCGAGGAGGGCAGATCACGAGGTCAAGAGATTGAGACCATCCTGGCCAACATGGTGAAGCCCCGTTTCTACTAAAAATACAGAAATTAGCTGGGTGTGGAGATGCACGCCTGTAGTCCTAGCTACTCAGGAGGCTGAGGGAGGAGAATCACTTGAACCCGGGAGGTGGAGGTTGCAGTGAGCTGAGATTGCGCCACTACACTCCAGCCTGGCGACAGAGTGAGACTCCATCTCAAAAAAAAAAAAAAAAAAAAAGGTGTCCTTTTGCATTTGGCTTATTTCACTTAGTGTAATGTTTTAAAGGCTCATCCATGTTGAAGCATGGGTCAGTGCTTCATTACTTTTTAAGGATGAATAATATTCCCTTTTATGGACAGACACCCTTTTGTGGATTCATTTGTCAGTGGATGGACATTTGACTTGTCTGCCTGTCCGCTGCTATATCCACTATTCCTGGTGCTCTTGGGAATGAATGAATGAATAAGTGAATGAATAAAATGAACAGAGCTGTCCAAGGTCACAGAGCAGGTAAGATGTGAAACCAGGATTGGAAGTCAGGCCATTAGTTCCCTACAGCCAATGTTCTTTTTTTTTTTTTTTTTTTTTTTTTTAGAGGGAGTTTTGCTGTTGCCCTGGCTGGAGTGCAGTGGCATGATGTCGGCTCACTGCAACCTCTGCCTCCTGGGTTCAAGCAACTCTCTTCCCTCAGCCTCCCAAGTAGCTGGGATTACAGGTGCCTGACACCATCTCTGGCTAATTTTTGTATTTTCAGTAGAGATGGGGTTTCGCCATGTTGGCCAGGCTGGTCTGGAACTCCTGACCTCAAGTGATCTGCTCATCTTGGCCTCCCAATGTGCTGGGATTACAGGTGTGAGCCACCCTGCACCGCCAGGCCGATGTTCTAAGCATCAGGCTCTACCTGTGAATCTTCTCTTTTTACAGATGAAGATGACTGTATCGCTCAGATTCCTGGTGGGAAAGCAATGGTATACTCAAGTGGGGTAACTAATGATGGGACGATTTACAAAGGTGTGGGCAGAGTTAAGAAAAAGCAATAAGGTGGTGGGGGGGGGCGCGGTGGCTCACGCCTGTAATCCCAGCAGTTTGGGAGGCTGAGGCGGACGGATCACAAGGTCAGGAGATCAAGACCATCCTGGCTAACACGGAGAAACCCCGTCTCTACTGAAAATATAAAAACAAAATTAGCTGGGCGTGGTAGTGGACGCCTGTAGTCCCAGCTACTTGGGAGACTGAGGCGGGAGAACGGCATGAACCGGGAGACGGAGCTTGCAGTGAACCGAGATTGTGCCACTGCACTCCAGCCTGGGCGACAGAGCGAGACTCCGTCTCAAAAAAAAGAAAAGAAAAGAAAAGAAAAAGCAATAAGAGATAGTGAGCTGCCTGGGGCTGGCAAGAGTGGGGAACCCTTACCACTCCCAGGACTAAAGGAGGGAGTAGTGCCCAGAAGCCCCGCCTATATGGAACTGAGAAGGGTAGGGCCTGGAGTCACGTCCATCCTCACTGCTCTCCAGTCTCCTGAACTGGAAGCCAGGGGTCGGGGGCGGGGGGTTGGGAGGGGGGGACCCTGATACAGTTAGTGTGGGTGGGAATGTACAAATTAGCTCAGACTGGAAAAGTAAAAATCTACCTGGCCACTTAGCAGACTGGAGTAACAGAAATGGATCAAGTCAGCTGCAAAGATAACAGGAAACAATATTTCTTTGTAGCTGTAAAGTTATAATATTACCCCACCCCTGTCTTTGAGTGACTGCTGAAACATTGTCCTTTAAAATCACAGACCATCAGAAAGTTTGCTGTTTGAAATTATGTGACTAAGATTGAAATATTCCAATTTTGCCTGGAGGATCTAAGTCATCTTGACACGGAGAAGCAGCCTCAATTTACAACTTAGGAGCAGAGATTCAGATAAAGAGTTTCTGGACACATTTGACATTTATCTTAGCTTTGTTGCTTTCAAGAAAACAGGGCCCTGGGTCCCCTTTGCAATCCAGATTTGAGGTTGACTGCTTTGTACAAGCCTGCTTTGCTTTGAGTCTATCAAAACATGACTTCATTTGGATTTTATCTAAACTCCACTTTCCTCGGAATCCTGTAATAAATCGCTGTCTTCCACTGTTTGGTGATGTCCTGAGGCTCATCTGGTGGGTGGCGTCCCTCATGGAATAGATCAATAAACCTAGCTTTGTTGGGCTGCCACTTGGTCCCTGGTGATCTTGGGCTGATTGATCTAGGTCATGGGTTGAACTTCCGGGGCACAGAGCAGGGTGGAGAGTAACTCAGAGGGTCAAGCGAGAAAGATCCTGCAGATAAATAAAACCCCTCCACCCCTAGCATCCCCACTCCTGCAAATCTGATTTTCCCCACCAACTGCAGACCAGAATATCATAAGGGCTGGTAGCTACAGACCAGAATATTATAAGGGCTGGTAGAAGAAGAAGGGGAGACCTTTATTTACCCAGAGCTCCTATATATCAGGGGCTGAATAAAGGGTTGTAGAAATGAATGAATCAATCTCTGAGTGGGGCTTGAGGCAATGGAAAGATCTCAGCCCTTTTCTGAGGTACAATCGAAGCTCTGGGTCTTGTGACATTTGCAGGGCTGCCCCCTTTTCCCAACAGAAATGAGTCCAAAAAAGCGAAAGGAAAGGGGGAAAAAAGGAGAATTCTAAAAATGCCCATCCTCTGAATACCATCTTTGTGTAGGCATCTGGGGGAGGCCAGCTGGGGCGAGGTCATCTGCCAACCAGGCCCTTAGGACTTGGCCCTTCTTGTTTATCGAAGTCACATCTGGGGCAACTGCCAGGGCCCGCCCCCACTCCACAGTCATTGGAAGAGCTCAAAGTTAAAGGCTCCCGCTAAAAATCAGTATGTTTCATTTTGCAGTTACTGGGAGGGGGCTTGCTGTGGCCCCATCTGGGAGAGTTGAGCCCTGGTCCAGCCCCGCGCAGGAAGGGAGGCTGTAACCGTGCCAGCCTGCTGCAGCTGCAGTGATGTTTTCCTGTATGAGACAAACAAAGTCGCCCGGATCCAAAGCATCAATTATGGCACCATTAAGTTCTTCCACGTGATCGTCTTTTCCTATGTTAGGTAAGTGGGATGCAGGGAGGACCCCAGATCTCTGCAGTGGTTGACAGCACAGAAAGCCCCAGGGGGCAGCTTCAGGTGCACATTCTGAATCTCACATGGTTTTCAAATTTGGACGTGCTTTCACAGCAAACCGGGCGGGAGGGAGGAAGCAGCATCAGGCAAGAGGAAATGGTGCCAGGCTGCAGCAGAGAGAAGCCATGGAAGGCGAGCGGGATTCATTTCTGATCTACTCCAGGCCCGCCAGGGAGAGCAGGGCAGGGTGTGCCTGGGGAAGGTGGGAAAGCGCAGGGCAACATCCTGGATTCCCAGGGAGGAGGCAAGGATCTCAGGGCACTCCTGGTGATCAGGCTGGCATTTGAGTCACCGTGCTTGGGAAGAATAGGACCAGGTTTATAAATGTATTTTAACTTCAGGTCACCAACACCTGCCTTTTGTTTTTTTCTTTTTCTTTTCTTTTTTCTTTTTTTTTTTTTGAGATGAAGTCTCGCTCTTGTACCCCAGGCTGGAGTGTGACAGTGTGATCTTGGCTCACTGCAACCTCCGCCTCCTGGGTTCAGGAGATTCGCCTGCCTCCACCTGCCCACACGCTATCCTCCCCCGCCACCAAGTAAGCTGGGATTACAGGTGCCTGCCACCAAGCCCAGCTAATTTTTGTATTTTTAGTAGAAACGGGGTTTCGCCATGTTGGCCAGGCTGGTCTAGAACTCCTGACCTCATGTGATCCACCTGCCTCAGCCTTCCAAAGTGCTGGGATTATAGGCGTGAGCCACCGTGTCTGGCTGGTTTTTGTTTTTTCTAAAAGAAACAGTACACCATGCAATTCACCATTTAAGGGTACAATTTAATGGTTTTCAGATTATTCACAGAGTTGTGCAAGCATCCCCACAATCAATTTGAGAATATTTTCATCAACTCAAAAAAAAAACAAAAAAAACCCACACTCCTTTGCCATCATTTCCAACACCATTCCCCCTCCTTCCCACCCATGAATCTGCTTTCTGCCTCTATGGATTTACCTATTCTGGACATTTCATGTAAATGGACTCACACAATATGTGGTCCTTTGTGGCTGGCTTTTTTTCACTTAGCATGTTTTCGGTGCTCATCCATGTTGTAGCTGTTGTAACATGTTGATACTTCATTACTTTTTTTTTTTTTTTAGATTTGGGGTCTCACTATGTTGCCCAGGTTGGTCTCAAACTCCAGCACTCATGCAATCCTCCCACCTCAGCCTCCTGAAGTATTAGGATTACAGGCGTGAGCCACCATACCTGGCTGACACTTCATTCCTTTTTATGGCTGAGTAATATTCCATTGCATGGATGGAACACTTTTATGTATCCATTCATCCATTGATGGACATTTTGGTTGTTTCTCTTTTTTGGCTATCATGAATAATGCTTCCATAAACATTGCGAACAAGGTTTTATGTGGATATATATTCTCATTTCCCTTGAATATGTACCTAAGAGTGGAATTGCTGGGTCATATGTTAACTATGTTTCACCCTTGGAGGAACTGTGGAGCTGAATTTCACAGCAGCTGCACCCTTTTACATTCCCACCAGCAGAGTATGAGGGGTCCAGTTTCTCCACATCCTCACCAACTCTTGTTATTGTCTGTCTTTTTAATTATAGCCATGCTTGTGGGTGTGCAGTGGTAGTTCATTGTGGTTCTGATTTGCATTTCCCTGGGAGTGACTGCCTCTTATTCTCTGTGATGATGATGATGATGTTGATGATGATGATGATGATGACAACCTATACTTATAGAGGGTGGCAGTGTAGTTTACTAAGAGTCAAGGCAACTTATTTTATAATACTGGCTGTGTCTTCTTGGCCAAGTCATTAACTTCTCTGAGCCTCTGTTTCTGCATCTGTTCATAGGGTTGTGACAATTAAACAAAAAAAAAGGCATGAGGAGCCCTTATCATGATGATTGACATAGAATAAGAGCTCCATAACTGGAATCCATTTTTTAAAATAATCTTTTTGAATGTATTATATATATATATTTGTATACAAAATACATGTATGTATTTTTATATACATCCTCTCCTTTGACCCTCAGAGTAACCATGTCCAAGTTTGGAATTTGAGATCTGGAAATGTGGATTCTAAAATCCTTCACCTCTTTGAGCCTTGGTTTCCTCATCTGTAAAATGGGGAGAATTGTTAGGAATATTAAATGAACTAATAAATGCAAAGTTGTTCAAGAAATATATGGCACATAGCAAGCCCTTATTAAGTGTTAGTTTTTATTTTTAATAATGCTATCATTAGGATTATCATTATTTGATTCCTATTTTTACTACTCAACAAATATTGAATGATAAACATATACACTGGGCCGGGCATGGTGGCTCATGCCTGTAATCCCAGCACTTTGGGAGGCCAAGGCAGGCAAATCACCTAAGGTCAGGAGTTTGAGACCAGCCTGGCCAACATGGTGGAACTCCGTCTTTACTAAAAATACAAAAGCTAGTTGGGCGGGGTAGTGTGTGTCTATAATTCCAGCTACTCGGTAAGCTGAGGCACAAGAATTGCTTGAATCTGGGAGGTGGAGGTTGCAGTGAGCTGAGATCATGCCACTTCATTCCAGCCTGAATGACAGAGCAAGACTCCATCTCAAAAACAAAAACAAAAACAAAACAAAACATGCTGAAATCGAAAACAAGACATATTACTTAGAGCAGCTATCATAGGACCAATGGAAAAGAGCATAATTAGTAAATGCCCCCTTCTGCATTAATACAGGGATTACATGTCATAATTCCATGTAGCAGGTGATGGGACTTCCTGACATTCCTGGGCCCAGCATACAATTTCTTTCTTTCTTACTTTTTTCTCTAAAAAGTGAGAGAGGGTCACACTATGTCACTAGGCTGGAGTGCAGTGGCGTGATCACAGCTCACTGCAGCCTCAACTTCTCAGGCTCATGTGATCCTCCTGCCTCATCCTCCCAAGTAGCTGGGACCATAGGCACATGCCATGACGCCTGGCTAATTTTTTATTGTTTTTGTAGAGACAGGGCTTTCCTTATGTTGCCCAGGCTGGTCTCAAACTCCTGGCCTCAGGCAATCCTCCTATCTTGGCCTCCCAAAGTGCTGGGATTATAGGTGTGAACCACCGTTCCTGACCTACAATTTCTTTTCTTTTCTTTTTCTTTTTCTTTTTTTTTTTTTGAAATGGGGTCTTACTCTGTCACCTAGGCTGGAGTGCAATGGCATGATCTTGGCTCACTGCAAGCTCTGCTTCCCAGGTTCAAGCAGTCTTCCCACCTCAACCTCCTGAGTAGCTGGAACCACCACGCCCAGCTAATTTTTTTGTATTTTTGGTAGAGACAGGGTTTCACCGTGTTGTCCAGGCTGGTCTTGAACTCCTGAGCTCAAGCAGTCCATCCATCTTGGCCTCCCAAAGTGCTGGGATTACAGTGTGAGCCACCATGCCCAGCCCACAATTTTTTAAAAGCAGATCATTGTATATATAAAAACATTACTATGAGAACACCTTATAATGATGAATATTTTTCTTTCACATGATGAAATCATAACTTACATGTATTTAACTCCCTCAAATTCAGTTATACATGTTCCATGGGGACATGGAGAGAGAGAATAATATAACTAGTACAATTATTCAGCAACTGGGTTCCCTGGAGTAAGTGTGAAATGGGATACTTGCATCTGGGGGTTCCCTCCATCATTCTCTGTTCTCATGTGCTTCTCACAGAGTGAGCATCTTGCTGCTCTGCCTTTAAATCTAGGTACATAATTTTCAGCCACATGACCCCTAAAATAAGCCAATTCCTTCACCTTCACCTGGAGCAAAACTGTAATAACAGCAACTTGTTCCGGAGCTAGAAATTGGCTCCAGTGGACCCACTGGGAAGAAGGAGTTGTTTGCTGTGCTATGTGGACAATTTAAGGGTTTAAAAGGCAATTTTGATAAGCCATGGGTTTTTTTGTTTGTTTGTTTGTTTTGAGACGGAGTCTCGCTGTGTCACCCAGGCTGGAGTGCGATGGTGTGATCTCGGCTCATTGCAAGCTCCGCCTCCCGGGTTCCGGCCATTCTCCTGTCTCAGCCTCCCGGGTAGCTGGGACTACAGGCGCCCGCCACCATGTCCCGCTAATTTTTTGTATTTTTAGTAGAGACAGGGTTTCACCATGATAGCCAGGATGGTCACGATCTCCTGACCTCGTGATCCGCCCGCCTTGGCCTCCCAAAATGCTGGGATTACAGGCGTGAGGCACCGTGCCTGGCGATGAGCCATGATTTTTATCTGAAGTGCCGTCTTTAGAAGATAACCTCCATGTAAAACGTTTCTCCACAGTTTATATTTTAAAATATAAAATTGAAGAAAAAACTATTGCCAGTTTGCTTTTTTCCTCTTTGTTAATGGACTATCTACTATCATCTCACCAAATGGAGTCTCACAGTACACAGCTTGGGAAATGCTGCCTTAAGTTGCAGTGTGAAGCCTTAAGTTTATGTAACCATGACTTAGCCATCTGTGTAGCGGGTATACCAATGGGGTGTAGGGATTGGCGGAAGTAGTTTGCACCAAGTAGTACTGGTGTGGACCATAGGTGGCAATCCAGACAGGCTAGAGCAATGTTCAGGTTACAGTAGCAAGTGGCAGGTTTTGGCCAGCTGTCCCTACTGGGGCTGGAAGGATAAAGAGCCAGAATAAGGAGACAGGGCCTCAGTTACTGAAACTGGGATAGAAACTGGGGACTGGTTATGGGGGAAATTAAACAAGAACCTGTCCAGCTTCTTCTATTCTCACAACTAAGTTCAGATCTGGAGTCAGAGGCAGGGATGCAGCTACAAGAGGAGTTAGCGTTGCAGGTTTATGTAGATAGGATGCTAAGCAGGTCTATGTTAGCCAGGATTGTTTGCGCAGTAAGTGACAGAAACCCAGCTTACGTTAACCACAAAGCCTCAAAGGGGAATTTATTGAATCATGTAACTGGGCAGTTGAAGAGATTGTGCTGTCCTTGGACATGGATGAAGATAAGGGTTCACACTATGTCATCAGGTAGGTTCTCTCTCCCTACGTCTTGGTTCCATTTGCTTCTATTTGGCCGCCTTCTTCTTCTTCTTCTTCTTCTTCTTCTTCTTCTTCTTCTTCTTCTTCTTCTTCTTCTTCTTCTTCTTCTTCTTCTTCTTCTTTCTTCTTCTTCTTCTCTTCTCCTTCTCCTTCTTCTTCTTTTTTGAGACGGAGTTTCCCTCTTGTTGCCTAGGCTGGAGTGCAATGGCGCGATCTTGGCTCGCCACAACCTCTGCCTCCCGGGTTCAAACGATTCTCCTGCCTCAGCCTCCTGAGTAGCTGGCATGCCCCACTACGCCCAGCTAATTTTTTGTATTTTTAGTAGAGACAGGGTTTAACCATGTTGGTCAGGCTGGTCTCAAACTCCCGACCTCAGGTGATCCGCCTGCCTCAGCCTCCCAAAGTGCTGGGATTACAGGCGTGAGCCACCGCACCCGGCCTTTGGCTTCCTTCTTGAACAGCTCTCTATGTAGCATGAAATCCTTACATTCTCTTCTTAGCAACCTCAGAGGAGCCAACAAGTCTTTCCTGATGCTCTGTTAGGAAAGTCCCGGGAAAGACTCTGATTGGTTGGGTGTGAATTACATATCCATCCCTGAACCAATCACCGCCTGGGCCAAGGTGTCATCCCATTGGCCAGTCTGGGTCATGTGCTGGTTCCTGTGGCAGGAAATAGGGAGAAGATGACTGAGCCGGCCGGGTGCAGTGGCTCACCCCTGTAATCCCAATACTTTGAGAGGCCGAGGTGGGTGGATCACCTGAGGTCTGGAGTTCGAGAAGATGACGGAGCAGTGTGAGCCCTACTGAACCACATCCAGTGGATTTTCCTTAGGAAGGAAGATCCTGTTACCAGACAAAATGGGAAAAGGAAGTGAGGAGGGTAGGCAGACAAAATACAGTGATCTGTTACAAGGTCTTCCCAAAAGCCAGAAATTCCAGGGATTTCTGAAGTCTACTTCTCTAGTCCTGGCTTGTCTGGGCTGTGGAGACTCTATCTAGGTAATTGTTGAGCTCCTATTCTTACCTTGGTTCCTTCCTCAGTCCCACCAGAAGACCTGCTCATTTGGGATGTGCGACTTGGCCCACAGAGGCTGCCAGCTCACCTTGGTACTTAACTACTATTTGTTTTCTGTGACCACCAAGCTATTGCTTAAACCAAGCCGCTTACGATGGCACCACCTAGGAGAATTCTTTAGATTTTATTCCGAGTGAGTTGAGAAGCCATGGGAAGATTGTAAGCAAAGGAATAAAAGATGGTTGCATTCTCTTGGGAAGATTTCCCTCTTCCCTGGAGAACAGTCCTCACAGAAGCTTTTCCAATGGCCACAGACTAGGGAAGGTTGAGAGAGGGACAGGAGAACAAACTCCACTCACAGGTGCTGCTTCTCCTCTGCCCAGTTAGCCTCCACTGGGGCCAATAGTGAGCCTGTGTTCTCATTCGTGGTCCCAGGCTGGCCGTCGCCATGGAGATGGTGTTGCTGTACCAGTTCGTGGCTATTAAAATGGAGCTCCTGGCTGGACACCTATTTCCCAGTGGGTGGCCACACACCTGTGGGTCTGGGCCTCCTCCAGCTGAATAGAAGTGAGCCCAGCACGGAGGTCGGGGAGGCACCAGACACCAGGAGGAGCAAATCCAACTCAAGCGTGGCCCCTCTGCTCCCGATTTTTTTTTTCTTTTTTTGAGACAGAGTTTTGCTCTTGTTGCCCAGGCTGAAGTGAAATGGCGCGATCTTGGCTCACGGCAACCTCCGCCTCCCGGGTTCAAGCGATTCTCTTGCTTCAGCCTCCCGAGTTAGCTGGGATTACAGGCATGCGCCACCACGCCCTACTAATTTTGTATTTTTAGTAGAGATGGGGTTTCTCCATGTTGGTCAGGCTGGTCTCAAACTCCCGACCTCAGGTGATCTGCTGGCCTCGGCCTCCCAAAGTGCTGGGATTACAGGCGTGAGCCACCGCGCCCAGCCGTTTTTTTTTTTTTTTTTTTTTTTTTTTTTTTTTTTTTAGATGGAGTCTTGCTTTGTCACCTAGGCTGGAGTGCAGTGACATGATCTTGGCTCACTGCAACCCCTGCCCCCTGGATTCACGTGATTCTGCCTCAGCCTCCCGAGTAGATGGGACTACAGGCGTGTGCCACCACACCAGGCTAATTTTTGTAATTTTAGTAGAGATAGGGCTTCGCCATGTTGGCCAGGCTGGTCTTGAACTCCTGGCCTCAAGTGATCCGCCTGCCTCGGCCTCCCAAATTGTGAGCTACCGCGCCCGGCCTGCCCCTGACCATCTTCGGGGAAATAGAAACATGAGGTCTGCCACATTCTCATCCCACCCTTGACACCTAGGTGATGTGAGAGCTTGAGGGGGAGGTCAGAAGGTCAGAGATGACCCAGTTCTGGAGGTGACCCCATAGAAGGAGAAGAATCCAGCCACGTGATACACGGGACCAAGAGAACAGTAAATGCAAAGATCTGGAAGCACAAAAGAGGAACAGCAAGGACAGCATGTTCCAGAACCTGGTAAGAGAGGAGGGTAGAGCCAGACCAGGGGGCAGGACAGGGGAAGAGTTGGAATTTGATTTTCAGTGCCATGGGAAGCCACTGAAAAGTATTATGCAGAGAAGTGAAACCATCTGACTCATGTTTCTAGAAGCTCTCATGGGCCACTGTGCAGAGCATAGAGTGTGGTGGGACCAGAATGACGGTGAGGGACCAGTGAGAAGGTTGCTGGAGTCACCAGATGCAAGGGATGGAGACTTGGGCTGGAATGGGATGGTGGAGCCAGAGAGATGTGGACAAAGCTGGGATGTGTTTTGGAGGCAGAACTGATGGATTTGCTAGGAGGTGAAGGATGGCTCCGGATTCCTGAGGGATTGATGATGCCTTTTACCAACTTGAGGAGAGATCAAGGAGTGGGCACGGTGGCTCACTCCAGTAATCCCGCACTTTGAGAGGCCAAGGCGGGCAGATCACCTGAGGTCAAGAGTTCGAGACCAGCCTGGCCAATGTCGCAAAACCCCGTCTCTACTAAAAATACAAAAATTAGCTGGGCGTGGTGGCAGGTGCCTGTAATCCCAGCTACTCGGGAGGCTGAGGCACAAAAATTGCTTGAATCCAGGAGGCGGAGGTTGCAGCGAGCCGAGATTGCACCACTGCACTCCAGCCTGGGTGATACAGCGAGACTCAGTCTCAAAAAAAAAAAATGTGTATATATATATATGCACATATACACACACACACATATATGTATACATATATAATAAAAATAATAATAAATAAATAAAGGATCTCAGGCAAGCAATTAAACACCGCCTACTACCATCTATCTTCATCCCTTTGTTCATGTCTAACACCAAAACACCCAAATAGCTGAAAGCACATTATCTCAAAAGATAAGCATGGTTTTTTCAAATGAATGGCTATAGCCTTATGAAAAGCTGCCTTGGTATCTGGTTTTCTTGTTTTGAGGGGCAAGGATGGAGGCTTCTCTCCTGCACCCACAGGCCACTGGGGATACCGCCCCAGCCCAGCCTCCCACCCTGCACTGGAGCCTCTCAGCCCTCCTGCTTGGGTAGCACAGTGTTGAGAAGAGGAAGGAGCAATTTGTCTGGCTTCTTCACAGGCCTGCAACTGGCGTGTACAGTGGCCGAGAAGGCGAGGCCAAGGTGGGGCTGGGGAAGCTAGCAGGGGTGAGATCGTGGAGCACCTTGAGCTGCATCTGGGGGGCACTGAGAAAGCATGGAGAGCTGTCCCCCCAAACCCCAGCATCTTAGTAGAAAATATTCAAACATACAGAAAACATGAAAGGTTTTACGCTATTTTCATTTTAAAGACATTATTTTGCTTGAAACATAACAGCTACTGAGTGCTGCTGAGGTCTTAGCATGTGCTGGGTTCCATTCTTAGCATGTGACATGTATTGGCCTATTTGATCCTCCTACATAATCCTATAATATTGGTTGTCGGAGTGGTTGATCATGACCTGAACGGCCACATGTTTGGGGAACTCTCTGTATTATGAGTTCCACTCCCTAATACATGTCACAACTGAATGTCCCAGGTTCCCTTGCAGCTAGGACACAGTATGAGACCCAAGCTTTCCAAAAATATGCCCCAGGCAACACTTCCATATACAAGGAATCACATGGGATGCTGGGTATGAGCAGAATTCAAATTCAGGAATAGAGGGAAGTATTGCCCTTTGACCCATACAATAGGGGATCCCTTTCCCTGGACCCCATGCCTTAAAGGGCCCCACTCTGTTCCTCTGCAGACTGCTAGCTCCCCTATGGAATGAGGATTGTCTGAGGCTGTATGAGTTTCTATTTGTTACACAGCGGTGGAAACTAACACAGTCCCACAGGCCTAAATCAAGGCATCAGCGGGCTGAGTTCTTGTCTGGAGACTCTGGGGAAAAGTCACTTCCAAGCTCATTGGTTTGTTTGTTTGTTTGTTCGTTTGTTTGTTTGTTTTGAGACAGAGTCTTGCTATGTTGCCCAGGCTGGACTGCAGTGGCGTGATCTTGGCTCACAGCAACCTCTGCCTCCTGGGTTCAGGCAATTCTCCTGTCTCAGCCTCCCAAGTAGCTGGAATTATAGGCACCCGTCATCATGCCTGGCTAATACTTGGGAGCCTGAGGCTGGAGAATCGCTTGAACCTGGGAGGCGGGCATTGCAGTGAGCTGAGATCACACCATTGCACTCCAGCCTGGGCAACAAGAGCAAAACTCGGTCTCAATAAATAAATAAATAAATAAATAAATAAATAAATAAATAAAAATAAAAATCCCTCACCAGGCGTGGTGGCTTATACCTGTAATCCCAGCACTTCGGGAGGCCAAGGCAGGTGGATCACTTGAGGTCCAGAGTTTGAGACCAGCCTGACCAACATGGTGAAACCCCATCTCTACTAAAAAAAAAAAATACAAAAATTAGCCAGGCGTAGTGGTAGGCACCTGTAATCCCAGCTACTCGGAGGCTGAGGCAGGAAAATCGCTTGACCCCGGGAGGCAGCAGTTGCAGTGAGCTGAGATTGCACCACTGCACCCCACCCTGGGTGATGAGAGCAAAACTTCGTCTCAAAACAATAAAAAATAAATAAAAATATTGAGACAATTTTAAAAATTAAATTAAAAAAGGGGGGCTGGGTGTGGTGGCTCATGCCTGTAACCCCAGCACTTTGGGAGGCTGAGGCGGGCGGATCACTTGAGGTCAGGAGTTCAAGACCAGCCTGGCCAACATGGTGAAACCCTGTGTCTACTAAAAATACAAAAATTAGCTGGGCGTGGTGGCAGGTGCATGTAATCCCAGCTACTCAGGCGCCTGAGGCAGGAGAATCACTTGAACCTGGGAGGCGGAGGTTGCAGTGAGCTGAGACATACCACTGCACTCCAGCCTGGGCAGCCAAGCGAGACTCTAAAAAAAAAATCTCTTTATTCAGCCCGCTGCAGGGGTTCACCCCTATAATCCCAGCACTTTGGGAGGCTGAGATGGGAGGATTGCTTGAGCCCAGGAGTTTGAGACCAGTTGAGAACAGCTGAGCAACAAATTGAGATCCCATCTCTAAAAAAAAAAAAAAAAAAAAAAAAAAAATATTAGCTGGGCATGGTGGTGCACACCTGTAGTTCCAGCTACTGGGGAGGCTGAGGTGGGAGGATCGCTTGATCCTGGGAAGTTGAGGCTGCAGTGAGTCGTGTTTATGCCACTAGACTCCAGCCTAGGCGACAGAGTGAGACCCTGTCTCAAAAAAAAAAAAAATCTCTTTTTTTCTATATTTTTCTCAACTTTATTGAGGTATAACTTACATATCATAAAATCACCCATTTTAAATACACATTTCAATGACTTTTAGTAAATTTACCAAGTTGTTCAACCATTACCGTGATCCAGTTTTAGAACATTTCATCAGCCTAGTAAGAGCCCTCATACCCATTAACAGTCACTCCCCACTCCCACTCTCTCCCCATGGTTGCTCAACCCAGGCAACCATGAATCTACTCTATGCCTCTATAGATTTGTCTTTCCTGGACAATCTTTCTTCTTAAATTCAGCAGAGTAAATTCTGTTGTTTAAAACTGGAAACCCTGCCGAATACAATACTAATATCTTCTTTTTTGGGAGATGGAGTCTCACTCAATCACTCAGGCTGGAGTGGAGTGGCACGATCTTGGCTCACTGCAACCTCTGCTTCCTGGGTTCAAACGATTCTCCTATCTCAGCTTCCTAAGTAGCTGGGATTACAGGCGTGCGCCACCACGCCCAGCTAATTTTTGTAGTTTTAGTAGAGAGGGGGTCTTACCACGTTGGCCAAACTGGTCTCGAACTCCTGACTTCAAATGATCCACCCACCTCGGCCTCCCAAAGTGCTGGGGTTACAGGCATGAGCCACCACGCTGGGCCCTAATATCCTCTTATTACAGAAGAAACAATGACTCAGAAAGGTTAAGTCACTTGTCCAAGGTCGTGTAGCCAGTAAGTGGTAGAGCTGAGATTGAACCTAAGCATCTCACACCATAGTCCATGCTCTCATTAAAGTATGCAGTGTAGGCTGGGAGTGGTGGCTCACACCTGTAATCCCAGCACTTTGGGAGGCTGAGGCGGGTGGATCACGAGGTCAGGAGTTCAAGGCCAGCCTGGCCAAGATGGTGAAACCCCATCTCTACTAAAAACTACAAAAATTAGCTGAGCGTGGGGGCAGATGCCTGTAATCCCAGCTACTCAGGAGGCTGAGGCAGGAGAATCACTTGAACACAGGCAGCAGAGGTTGCGGTGAGCCAAGATCTTGCTGCTGCACTCCAGCCTGGGTGACAGAGTAAGACTCCGTTTCAAGAAAAAAAAAAAAAAAAGTATGCAGTGTGCAGTATAGAGAGTGGAGGGGACAGGGTAAGACTGGAGGAAAGGAGACCATTTAGGAGACCATTGGGTTGTCCAGATAGGAAAGCTGATGGTGACCTGGACTGAGGAGGTAGTAGAGGCAGAGGAGAGAAGTAGATGACTTCGAGCAATATTAGAAAGGTAAAACAGTAGGATTTGGCAACTGAATGGGTGAGGGGGAAAGAGGGAGAGAATGAGTCAAGGAGTGTGCCATGTTTCTGGCTTGGACAACTGATAGGTGCTGGAATAACTTGCTGGGATAGGAAATGCAGGAGAAAGAGCCAATTTGGGGTGGAAGATGAGGTCAGAACTGAAGGCATTGAGTTCGAAGTGTTCATGGAACATATGCATGTAGATGTTGAATAGGTGGTTGGATATATGAATCTGGAGCTGAGATGTAGGTTTCTTTTTTTTTTTTTTTTTTGAGTCAGAGTCTCTGGTCTCCCCCACAGAGCTGGCTCTGCATGAATTACTCTTCCTCTATTGCAATGAGCTAAGGGATATGAGGGCAGTTGTGCGATCTTAGCTCACTGCATCCTCCGCCTCCCGGGCTCAAGTGATTCTCCTGTCTCAGCCTCCTGAGTAGCTGGGATTACAGGTGCCCGCCACCACACCTGGCTAATTTTGTATTTTTAGTAGAGATTGGGTTTCACCATGTTGGGCAGGCTGGTCTTGAACTCCTGGCCTCAGGTGATCCGCCCACCTCAGCCTCCCAAAGTGCTGGGATTTCAGGCATGAACCACTGCGCCTGGCCTGAGATGTAGGTTTCTATATCACCAGCATATAGATGGGAACTAGAACCATGGAAGAAGCTGCAATTCACCAGCAAGAGAAGAAGTAGATGAGAAAGCAAGAGGGCCTAGAACCGACCCCGGAGAAGGGCTAACCTTTAAGGGGTGGGAGTGCTGAAGTCCCCAAAGGATTCTGAGAAGGAGTAGCCACAGAGATCCAATGAAAGTCAGGCAAAGGTGGATTCCTGCAAGCTAAGGGAAGGAGGTGAGGGAGGTGGGGCATGGTCACAGTGTCAACTGGTGCTGAGAGTTCCAGGAAGATCAGCTATGTGGTGTGTCTATTGGATTTAGTGACAATGACGTTGTTGTTTACTTGGCAAGAGAGGCTTTAGAGAAGGGATGGGGGTGGGAGCCAGACTGGAGTGGGCGGAGGAGTGAATGGAGATGCAGAAATGGATATGATGACTCACTCTTTCAGGGGACTTGGCTATGAAGAAGAGAGGCATGGAGTGGTGGTAAGAGAATGTGGGATTGAAGAGGGGGTATTTTGGAGACAGAGTTTCACTCTTGTTGCACAGGCTGGAGTGTAATGGGGTGATCTCGGCTCACCGCAACCTCCGCCTCTGGGGTTCAAGCTATTCTCCTGCCTCAGCTTTCTGAGTAGCTGGGAATACAGGCATGTGCCACCATGCCTGGCTAATTTTGTATTTTTAGTAGAGAAATGATGTTAAGTGCAGATGGAAAGGGGACAGGAGAGAAAGGGAAGTTGATGTGGTAAATGAAAATTATCTTCATCATCTTCCTCACCATCACCAGCAGTAACCACAAGGAAAGCTTGTTCTGCTCTGGGACTGCCCTGTCACTTTTCTTCCTGAGAAAATGAGCCAAAATCTTTCCCCCTGTAACTTTCACCTTTGCTTAGTTTTGCCTTGTGTCCCTCTTCAAATGGCTGCACACTGCTACTATGTCTCTCCTCTTCTTCAAACTCACAGCCTCCATCCTACAGGCCATGTGCTCTCAGCCTGGCGACCAGACCCTCAACTGTCTCAACCAAGTTCACACCGCTTGTTTGTCAAGCCCCTCTTAAGAGGCAGTGTACACACTCTTGCTTTGGTGATGGAAGCATGAAATGGTTCAAGCATTTATGATTTAGGAAAATAAACTCAGATAGAAAATGTGCACACCCTTTGACCCAGAAGTCCTGTATAGACTTAATGCCTTAGGTGTGTGAAGAAGCTTGTGCAGGGATTTCTGGCAACATGAATGTGGGGTGGACAGACAGTGAGCACAGTTGTTAGGAGCATAGCCTGAGTGCATTCTTCCTGAGATCAGGAACAGGACGAGGATGCCCGCTTTCACCGCTGCTGTTCAACATTGTACTGGAAGTTCTAGCCAGAGCAATTAGACAAGAAAAGCAATAAAAGGCATCCAGATGGCAAAGAATGAAGTAAAACTATCTTTAATCACAGATGGCACAATCCCATATATGGAGAATCCCGAAGAATTCACAAGAAAACTATTAGATAGAGCTAATTAACCAATTCAGTAAAGTCGCAAGGAACAAGATCAACACACAAAAATTAATTGTGTGTGTGCATTTTTTTTTACACCAGCAAGGAACATTTGAAAAGGAAATTGGAAAAATAATTCCATTTACCATAGCATTTAAGAGAGCTGAGGCTGTGGAGCCAGATGGCTGCGTTCAGAGCTGGCGCTGCTGTTTACCATGTGACCTTGGACAAGCTTCTCGCTTCATTCATACCACAGTTTGTTCGGCTATTAGGTGGAGGTAATACTAGCACCTTCCTTATAGAGTTGGTTTTTGTTTTCATTTTTTTGGTGGGGGGGAGTAAGAATTGCAAAAGTTAATATATGTCAGCAAAATAGACTTAGAAGAGTGGTTGGCACATGGTAAGGACATATTAGGGTTACCAAAAATTGTTTATAATTGGGAAAATTGAACAAAAGTTACAGTTAAATATCTATCCCAGAGACTGACTGGCAAATTATCACAATGTACCTCTTAGCTTGAGCCATATGGAACTGCCTGTATTCTATAGCTATGGCCTACAAAATGGGCAGTTCTTTCTTTCTTTTCTTTTTTTTGGAGAGAGAGTCTCACTCTGTTGCCCAGGCTGAAGTGCAGTGCAGTGGCATGATCTCGGCTCACTGCAACCTCCGCCTTCCAGGTTCAAGTGATTCTCCTGCCTCAGCCTCCCAAGTAGCTGGGATTACAAGCATGCACCACCACAACTGGATAATTTTTGCATTTTTAGTAGAGACAGGGTTTCCGCCATGTTGGCCAGCCTGGTCTTGAACTCCTGGCCTCAAGTGATCTGCCCGCCTTGGCCTCCCAAAGTGCTGGGATTACAGGCGTGAGGCACCATGACCTGCCAAAATGGGCAGTTTCATATATTCAATCACTAGGATACTCTTTAGCCACTGAAAATGATTGTGTATCATAGATCTATCTTTATCACAGATATCTTTACTGTCATAGAAAGAATTAATAACATATTATTGAGTAAAAATAGCAAGTTACAAAACAGCCTGCAGCCTGTAGTGTGGCCACGTTTGTAACATCAGTATATCTGTTTGTGTGTCTAGGTGTGGACATAAAGAGATATCTAGAAGACACTCAAAAGTTTCAACAATGATTGCCTGAGTGATTTGTGCTGGGATCTTCTTTTTTTTTTTTTTTTTTTTTTTTTGAGACCGAGTCTCTCTCTGTTGCTCAGGCTGGAGTTTGCAATGGCGTGATCTTGGCTCACTGCAATCCCCGCCTCATGGGTTCAAATGATTCTCCCACCTCAGCCTCCCGAGTAGCTGGGATTATAGGCGCCCACCACTGTGCCTGGCTAATTTTTGTATTTTTAGTAAAGACGGGGTTTTGCCATGTTGGGCAAGCTGGTCTCAAACTCCTGACCTCGAGTTATCCACCTGCCTTGGCCTCCCAAAGTGCTGGGATTACAGGCGTGAGTCACTGCGCCCAGCTGGGATCTTAATTTATATTTTTTCTTTTTAGCCCTTGATTTTTACCCTGTTAGACTGACTTTAGGAATCTAACCCCCAAAAGTGGAAAGGAATACATTAGTGTTGTTGAAAGCCACTAAGTTAGTGGTAATTTGTTACAGAAACTAATATAATTGGGATTTAACTTGCCTTGGGGGTGCTGGCTCTCCCCCATTTTCTTCTCAGAGCATCTCTTGGGTCCTCAACCCTTGCTGAGCCCCCACCATGGCCTAGAGGACCAGGGATGGACTTGATTAGATTCTCCTCTTGGGATTTTAAAAAAGAGAAGCAGAGGCTGCATGCTCAGCTTCTCCGTGCCGCACTGCAGGCACAGTGCCCGGCGCCACTGTTCTTTAGGGGTCCATGAAGATGTCTGTTGGCCCTGGGTTAGTCATGAGGTAAGGGATATGAGGGCAGTTCACTTTGGAGGCTCAGCCCTTTGGTGTTACTTTTGCTCTGGAACCTTAGGAGCTGTAAGGGGGAGAGGAACTTTGCTGAAAGGCACATCCTCCCTGCAGAGCTTGAAGAACAATCTAACCATGCTGGCATGGGGCCCATCCTACCTGCAATGCCAAGGTAAGTCTGCGAAAGTCACTTATATTCAGAGCATGTGGATTGGGACTCTGAAGAACAACTTTATGGTGGACACCTTCGTCTCCATCTGGTGAGTCCAGCACAAGCAGCCTGAGGGTTCCATGGGCTCAACCTCACCCTCCATCCTTATTTCCCTGCCACTCCAGGGCTCCTCCTCATCCAGACTTGCCTGTGAGTGCCCCTTGATGGATGTATTTGTCTGTTCTCATGCTGCTAATAAAGACATATTCGAGACTAGGTAATTTACAAAGAAAAGAGGTTTAATGGACTCACAGTTCCACATGGCTGGGAAGGCCTCACAATCATGGTGGAAAGTGAAAAGTACGTCTTACGTGGTGGCAGGCAACAAGTGACTAAGAGCCAAGCAAAAGGGGAAACCTCTTATAAAACCATCAGATCTCATAAGACTTAGTCACTATCTCCCACCAGGTCCCTCCTACAACATGTGGGAATTATGGGAGCTACAATTCAAGATGAGATTTGGGTGGGGACACAGCCAAACCATATCAATGGCCCTAACTTCTCTCCCATTAGCTCTCTTCTACCTCCCAGACTCTTTCCAGCTTTCCTCTTTTTCTTCTTCTTTTTAAGAGACTGGAGTCTTACTGTGTTGCCCAGGCTGGTCTTGAACTCCTGGGCTCAAGGAATCCTCCCACCTCCACCTAATGAGTAGCTGTGACTATAGGCATGCACCACCACACCCCCAAAATTTACCCATCCTCCCCGGCCCAGTAAAATCCTCAGCTTCTTCACACCCCTGTTAGCTCCAGGCACCAGCAGCTTTGCCTTCTGTAGAATGCATAAAATTATAGCCTCTTAGAGCAAAAAGGTCATTGGGGTTAGGGAGGCTGAGAGTTCTCTCTTCATTCAGGGATTAAACCTAACACCTGGAAGGGTGACATGGCTTGCCTTAGTCACCAAGCAAGGTCGGGATAGTATTTCTGGGATGGTCATTAGTACTTTCTTTCCAAAGGGAGGACATCACAAACTCAGTTTCGTGATCACAGTATTCCCCTCCTACAGGTAAAGTGTGCAAACTGGATTTCATTCCCTCTTTTTTTTCTTTGACACAGCACTGAAACTTTTTTTTTTTTTTTTGAGATAGAGTCTGGCTCTGTTGCCCAGGCTGGAGTGCAATGGCGCAATCTCAGCTCACTGCAATCTCTACCTCCCAGGTTCAAACGATTTTCCTGCCTCAGCCTCCCAGGTAGTTGGGATGGTTTAGGAGTCATGCAGCTGGAGGCTACAAGATTCTGACCCTCCCTAAACTGCTCCTAAGATCAGTGCTTGAGATATTTTGCAGACCCTGCACTTGATGGATCAGCTCAGTAAACTGACTCATCTGATCTTGTGGCCCCTTCTCAGGAACTGACTCAGCACAAGAAGACAGCTTCGACTCCCTATGATTTCATCTCTGACCAATCAGCACTCCTGGCACACTGGCTTCCCCCAACCCACCAAGTTATCCTTAAAAACTCCATTCCCTGATTGCTAGGGGAGACAGATTTGAGTAATAATAAAACTCCGGTCTCCCCCACAGCTGGCTCTGCACGAATTACTCTTCTTCTATTGCAATTCCCCTGTCTTGATGAATCGGCTCTGTCTAGGCAGCAGGCAAGGTGAACCCTTTGAGCAGTTACAATTCTATTTAATACCTCTGTCTCTGCCAGGCACGGTGACTCACGCCTGTAATCCCAACACTTTGGGAGGCTGAGGTGGGTGGATCACCTGAAGTCAGGAGTTCGAGACCAGCTTGGCCAACATGGTGAAACCCTGTCTCTACTAAAAATACAAAATATAGCTGGGTGTGGCGGCGCATGCCTGTAATACTAGGGAGGCTGAGGCAGGAGAATTGCTTGAACCCAGGAGATGGAGGCTGCAGTGAGCAGAGATAGTGCCACTGCACTCCAGCCTGGGTGACAGAGGGAGACTCTGTCTCAAAAAAAAAAAAAAAAAGCTTCGTCTCATATATGCTGATTAGGCCTCAAATCTGGATCTCTTACCTCTTAGCTCAACATCTTTCTTGACAATCTTTCTTTTTAAATAAATGCTATAGAAATACTAAAATGTATTGTGAATAATGTAACACCCACATACCATCATCCAATTTAACAAATAAAGCATTACTAATCCAGTTTTGCTCCCTGCAAACTCATCCTTCATCTCATTCTCTGACCTTTCCCTTTATAAACACCCTGCAGCCAGGCACAGTGGCTGCACCTGCAGTCCCACCTATTTGGGAGGCTGAGACTGGAGGATCTCTTGAGCCCAGGAGTTTGTGGCTGTAGTGTGCTGTGACTGCACCTGTGAAATAGCCACTGCGTTCCAGCCTCGGCAACACAGCAAGACTCCATCTCTAAACGAAATCCTGAATTTGACATTTGTCATTCCCTTGTTTGTTTTTATATTTCTAAACACATATATGTCTACATATGTAAAAAATATAATTTTTACTTTTTTATTGGGGTGAAGTTCATATAACACAAAATTAACCACTGTAAACATGAACAGTTCAGTGGCATTTCAGAGAGGTGTGCAACCACCACATCTAGTTCCAGATCATTTTCATCACCCCAAAAGGACACCCCATGCCTATTAGTAGTCACTCGCCATTTCTCCCTCCCTCTGTCCCCTGCAACTACCAATCTACTCTCTGTCTCTATGGATTTACCTATTCTGGGTATTTCATATAAATGGAGTCAATCAATATGTGTGGCCTTTTGTGACTAGCCTCTCTGAGGTAGCAGACATAATGTTTTCAAGGTTCATCGATGTAATAGCATGTATGAGTACCCTGTTCCTTTTTTATGGCTGAATAATATCTCATTGAATGGATAGACCACATTTTGCCTATCCATTCATCCATAGATGAACATTTGGGTTATGTGAATAGTGCTGCTATGCACATTCATGAATAGGTAGTTGTGAGTACATGGTGTGGCTTTGGATTTCTCTAAACTTTATATCACACTGCAGCTTGCTTTGTTTTTTCAGTGTTAGGTTATTTCCATGTTGATATGCACAGCTCTAGTTAATTCATTTTCACTGCTCCAAAGCATCCCATTTTTAAAATTATTTTATTTTATTATTTTTTTTGAGACAGGGTCTTGCTCTGTCGCCCAGGCTGGAGTGCAGGGGTGCAATCACAGCTTACCATAGCCTTGACCTCCTGGGCCCAAGCAATCCTCCCACCTTGGCCTCCATCTCTACAGGCTCGTGCCACCACACCCAGCTAATTTTTGTATTTTTCGTCAAGACAGGGTTTTGTCCTGTTGTCCAGGCTGGTCTCGAACTCCTGGGCTCAAGCAATTCCCCTGCTTCAGCCTCCCAAAGTACTGGGATTACAGGCATGAGCCACCGCGCCTGGCCCAAAGCATCCCATTGTATGAATCCAACAATTTATCCATTTATTGTTTGAGAACATTTAGGTTATGTCTTGCTTTCCCTCTTACAAGCAATGCTGCAGAAGCATTCTTGCCCATAACTCCAGCACATGTACAAGAGTTTCTCTAGGGCACATATATAAGAGTTTTATTGCTGGGTCATGAGGAATGCTCTTCTTCAAATGTACTTGCTATTGACAAATATGAGCTATCTTTTCAGGAGCCTCCCAGTGGTCCTCAGCCCTGGCTATGCATTAGAATCAGCTGGGAACTTTTTTGTTTTCCCCCCAAGACAGAGTCTTGCTTTGTGACCCAGATTGGAGTGCAGTGGTGCAATCTCGGTTCACTGCAACCTTTGCCTCCCAGGTTCAAGCAATTCTCCTGCCTCAGCCTCCGGAGTAGCTGGGATTATAGGTGCACACCACCAAACCTGGCTAATTTTTGTATTTTTAGTAGAGATGGAGTTTCACCATGTTGGCCAGGCTGGTCTCGAACTTCTGGTCTTGAGTGATCCACCCACCTCGGCCTCCCAAGGTGCTGGGATTACAGGCGTGAGCCACCGTGCCCAGTCTCACCTGGGAACTTTTTTTTTTTTTTTTGAGACAGTCTAGCTCTGTCATCAGGCTGGAGTACAGTGGCACGATATTGGCTTACTGCAACCTCCACCTCCTGACTTCAAGTGATTCTCCTGCCTCAGCCTCCTGAGTAGGTGGCATGTGTCACCACGCCCAGGTAATTTTCCTATTTTTAGTAGAGACAGGGTTTCGCCATGTTGGCCAGGATGGTCTTGATCTCCTGACCTTGTGATCCGCCCACCTTGGCCTCCCAAAGTGCTGGGAATACAGGCGTGAGCCACTGCGCCCAGCCATGAACTTTTAACAAATATATAGGTATCTGGATAACTCCCCAGACTCACGAAATCATAGTCTCCAGGGATGGATCTGGGGAGCTGCAATTTTGAAAGCTCCCTGGGTGGTTACATAGCCAAGGTGGAGAACAGCTGGGGCTGAGTCTTGGCCCACTCTGTCTCAGCTTCCCAAGGTCAGCTCATACAGGGCAGCCATCATCTTAGACTTGCTAATATTATTCAGCAGCTGGGCAGAAAGAAGGGACTAAATAAATAAACTGAATGAGTAAACAAAGCATTTAAAACAAACTCTTTAGGCTGGACGCGATGGCACATGCATGTAATCAGTCACAGTAACTATCTCCTACTGTTGTGAGGATTAAAGGGGATGTTGCATGTAGAGCACTTGGCACGTATTAAGTGCCCAATAAAGAGTAGCTCCTGCAGCCTGGTGTGGTGGCTCACACCTGTAACCACAACATTTTGGGAGGCTGAGGTGGAGAATCGCTTGAGGCCATGAGTTTGAGACCAGCCTGGGCAACATAAAGAGACCCCTGTTTCTAGAAAAAATAATAGAAATTAGCCAGGCGTGGTGGTACACACCTGTAGTTCCAGCTACTCAGGAGGCTGAGGTGGGAGGATCGACTTGAGCTGAGGAGTTGGAGGCTGCAGTGAGCTATGATTGTGCCACTACACTCCAGCCTGGGCAACAGAGCGAGACTCCGTCTCAAAAAAAAAAAAAGAAGGCCGGGCACGGTGGCTCATGCCTGTAATCCCAGCACTTTGGGAGGCCAAGGCGGGCGGATCATGAGGTCAGGAGATCGAGACCATCATAGCCAATACGGTGAAACCCCGTCTCTACTAAAAAAAAATACAAAAAATTAGCCAGGCGTGGTGGCGGGCACCTGTAGTCCCAGCTACTTGGGAGGCTGAGGCAGGAGAATGGCATGAACCTAGGAGGCGGAGCTTGCACTGCACTCCAGCCTGGGCGACAGAGTGAGACTCCATCTCAAAAAAAAAAAAAAAAAAAAAAAAAGAGTAGCTGCCATTTTCAATGTTATTGATAAAGCAGGTGGGTGTTTCTGGAAATGCACCAGACACAGCCTTTGACTAGAAGGTGCAAGCTGGTGAACCCACTGGAGTGGGACTTTATGACTTGAGAAGCTGTCCTATCCATGAGGGTCCATGTTAGGCAATGTTAAAGAATGGGATTGGGGGCCGGGCATGGTGGCTCACACCTGTAATCCCAACACTTTGGAAGGCCAAGGCAGGCAGATCATGAGGTCAGGAGTTCAAGACCAGCCTGCCCAACATGGTGAAATCCTGTCTCTACTAAAAATACAAAAATTAGCCTGGTGTGGTGGCGTGCGCCTGTAATCCCAGCTACTCAGAATGCTGAGGCAGGAGAATCGCTTCAACCTAGGGGGCGGAGGTTGCAGTGAGCCGAGATCACACCACTGCACTCCAACCTGGGCGACAGAGCAAGACTCCATTTAAAAAAAAAAAATGAGATTGGGGGCAGCAGCTTTCCTATAGCGAGTGCTCAGTATGTGCCAGATACTGGGCAAAGGAGTTTGCAGACATATATCATTTGATCCTCACAATTCATGAGGCAGGTATGATTATGCTTCCCATTGTGCAGAGAGGGAAAACGAGTCACACGGAAGCAAGTCATGCAGCCGAGCTAGGATTGGAACGGAAGTGGCCTGCAGAGCCTGCCTCCCACCCCACTGTGCTATGCCTCCCATTGATGCTTTCCTGTGCCTGCCATTTAGCTTTGCTCTGGTGAGTGGCAAGCTGTACCAGTGGAAAGAGCCTGTCATCAGTTCTGTGCACAGCAAGGTGAAAAGGACAGCAGAAGTGAAAGAGGAGATCGTGGAGAAAGAAATGAAGAAGTTGGTGCACAGTGTCTTTAACATGGCAGATTACACCTTCCCTTTGCAGGTGAACACCTGGTAGTGTTAACGGACCCCAACACTTACCCAAAGGTAGCCATTGGGTCAGGTTTCTGCACTATAGTCCCTTCTGTGGTTGCCAGAAATACGTTACAGGAAAAGGGTCCCGATCCAGACCCCAAGAGGGGGTTCTTGGATCTAGCGCAAGAAAGAATTAGGGCAAGTCCACAGTGCAAAGTGAAAGCAAGTTTATTAATAAAGTAGTGGAATAAAAGAATGGCTACTCCATAGACAGAGTAGCCCCCGAGGGCTGCTGGTTAGGCATTTTTATGATTATTTCTTGATGATACGCTAAACGAGGGGTGGATTATTCATGCCTCCCCCTTTTAGACCATATAGGGTAACTTCCTGACATTACCATGGCATTTGTAAACTGTCATGGCGCTGCTGGGAGTGTAGCAGTGAGGACGACCAGAGGTCACTCTTGTCACCATTTTGGTTTTGGTGGTTTATAGCAGGCTCCTTTACTGCAACCTGTTTTATCAGCAAGGTCTTTATGACCTGTATTTTGTGCTGACCTCCTATATCATCCTGTGACTTAGAATGCCTTAACCGTCTGGGAATTCAGCCCAGTAGGTTTCAGCCTCATTTTACCCAGCTCCTATTTAAGATGGAGTTGCTCTGGTTCACACGCCTCTGACATTTGTATTGCACATCCATTGTGAGGTGAATGATACTAATCCCACTACAAATCAAACCTTCAGGAGGTGAGGCAATGTGTGAGGTGGTAAAGCCTCCAGATTCAAAACTATGCTTGGGTCAAATTCTAGCTCTGCCACTTTGTGTGTGCAGTGTTGGGCCAAACACTTAGCTCAATTCCCTCATGTATTCAGCAAACAGTTACTGAATATAATATGCTACTCTTCTAGTCTTGTAGCAGGACGAGCCGCAGACAAAACCTCTCAGACACCGAGTTGTAGAAGGAAGGGCTTTATTCAGCTGGCAGCATCGGCAAGCTACTGCCTTAAAATCCGAGCTCCCCGAATGCACAATTTCTGTCCCTTTTAAGGGCTCCTCACAGCACTAAAGATTTCACATGAAAGGGTCGTGATTGATTTGAGCAAGTAGGTGGTACGTGACAGGGGCTGCATGCACCAGTGGTAAGAGAGAAACAGAACAGGGCAGGGAGTTTCACAACGTTCTTCTATACAATGTCTGGAATCTATGAATAACATCGGTTTCTAAGTTATGAGTTGATTTTTAGCTACTGGGTGTGAGGCCTCTGAGCCCAAGCCAAGCCATCGCATCCCCTGTGACTTGCACGTATACATCCAGATGGCCTGAAGTAACTGAAGATCCACAAAAGAAGTAAAAATAGCCTTAACTGATGACATTCCACCATTGTGATTTGTTTCTGCCCCACCCTAACTGATCAATGTACTTTGTAATCTCCCCCACCCTTAAGGTACTTTGTAATCTCCCCCAACCTTAAGAAGGTTCTTTGTAATTCTCCCTACCCTTGAGAATGTACTTCGTGAGATCCACCCCTGCCCGCAAAACATTGCTCTTAACTTCACCGCCTATCCCAAAACCTGTAAGAACTAATGATAATCCACCACCCTTTGCTTACTCTCTTTTCGGACTCAGCCCGCCTGCACCCAGGTGAAATAAACAGCCATGTTGCTCACACAAAGCCTGTTTGGTGGTCTCTTCACACACGTTTGGTGGTCTCTTCACACACATGAAACTGGGTTTAGGCCAGGCAGGCCCAGGCCTGGTTTCGGGCCTGGCGCCGGGCTGCCCGTCTTTGGTTTCACTTCCTTGTTGTTTCTTCTTAAAACAGGTACTGAGTATAAAACAATATAAAACAAAATGAGAGGGTCTCTCTCTCCCCCAGTCTCTGGGACAGAGCAGAGAGCAAGAACAAAATCGCTGTGCTCGTGGACTTTACATGCTAGGGCGGAGCAGGTCCTCAGAAAATCATCAAATGTACGTTAAATGTATAAGGTAAATGGTGATGAGTCTAAAGTGAATGGGGGGAATGGAAGAGAACGAAGGTAGGGAGAATGTACATTAAGGGAAAGGGAGGGTTGCAATTTTAGAAAAGGATGTCTGGGCAAGGGCTCCCTGAGAAGATGGCATTTGTACTATAGAAACACAGTATCTATTTTCCAGGCCCGTAATGAAGGTTTAATAAGAAAATGCATGGATTCGTAAAAAATCTTCAATAGGCCCCAAATGGACCTACAAGACCTCGACCCCAATGGATGAGGGAACGCTAACCACAGCAGAACGGTAATCGCGGCGAACGTTGGCACAGACGGAAAGTTGATCTGAACGGAAAGTTGGTCCGGGGGAAACATTAGTTATTGAGGAACGTTAATCCGGAACAAATCTTAGGCAGAAGCGGAACTTAGACCAGGACGCACAGTTACCATGGCAATGACGCGCGCCCTAAGGGCGGTGGCAGCGACGCAGAGAGACCTGGGAGGAGACAGAGGCAGGGCTTGCGACGGAAGTGGCCTCTCTGCTTCTGCAGGGCTGGGGAAGATGCTGCGTCCAGCGTTACCGTGGCTGTACCTTGGCCTCTGCAGCCTCCTGGTGGGGGAGGCAGAGGCCCCGAGCCCCGTGGATCCGCTGGAGCGGAGCCGGCCGTACGCGGTGCTGCGAGGGCAGAACCTGGGTGAGCGGCCCTCGGGCTGGCGGGCGGCGGGTAGTGCCTGAGCTTTCACTGCTCCGGGTGCTGGAGCCGGGCATGTACGGAGCGGACAGGGGATAGAGTGGGGAGATGGGTGAGTGCGGGGGGTGCAGGTGAGGCCCCTCAGGGGGCCCCGAGACTCCCTCTCCAAAAGCCTGGGGCAGAAGGCCTGAACTTTGCCTCTCAGCAAGTGCTCAATATGTGCCAGAACCTTCGCCTCCCAGGTTCAAGCAATTCTCCTGCCTCAGCCTGCCGAGTAGCTGGGATTACAGGCGCACACCACCACACTTGGCTAATTTTTGTATTTTTAGTAGAGATGGGGTTTCACTATGTTGGCCAGGCTGGTCTCAAGCCTGGCATGGTGTCCAGTAAGCTCTCAATATGTACTGCTTGCCCATGAATGAACTGCAATCGGGAGACCTGGGTCTCATTCTGGGTCCTCTCCTCTCTGGCAGTGTGGGCTCAGGCTAGGCAACAAGGCACATCATTTACCCCACCCCTCTTCTTTCCCAGAGGAGCCAGTATTTATTGCAAAAATGATAACAGTTTTTGAGCATTTCCTACATCCCATGTCTTGTGCTACGCACTTTGTATACGCGAATTCATTTGAGCCTTACAATAACTTAATGAGAAACGTACGGTTTGCAGCCCTTTTTTTTTCTTTTACAATAGTGTCTCCTCTGTCACCCAGGCTGGAGTGCTGTGGCACGATCTTGGCTCACTGCAGCCTCGGCCTCCTGGGTTTAAGTGATCCTGCCACCTCAGCATCCCGGGCGAGTAGCTGGGACTACAGGCGTGCACCACCACACCTGGCTCATTTTGTTGTTGTTGTTGTTTACTTTTTGTAGAGGTGGGGGTCTCGAACTCTTGGGCTCAAGCAATCCTCCTGCCTCGGCCTCCCAAAGTGTTGGGATTACAAGTGTGAGCCACCGCACCTGATGTTGCAGCTCTATTTTTCAGATAAGGAAAATGAAACTCAGAGAAGTGAAGTTATTTGCCCAAAGTTACATAGCTAGGAAATGATGAGGCCAATACTAGAACCTGTTTGGGGGCTTGAAACATAAGTTGTGGGAGGATATCTTCAACACACACACACGCTGCGTAAATATGTGTGTGTGCATGGCTTTGGCTTTGGAAGGAGTTCTGGAACTTAAAGCTTGGCAAACTTCACAATAAATCTGCCCCTCGCCAAAGTCTTCCCTTCCCACTGTATCTCCTTGGTACATCTGTATATCTACAAAGTGGCTATTAGTATCATTTTGGATTATCTTGACTCTACATGAACTCAGTGTTTGCCATGTGTTGACGACTTACTGTGTACCTAGCACTCTACTAAATAGTTTCCACACATTATCCCACTCGATCCTTCAGAACAGGGTTTCTCAACCTGGATATTACGACATGTTGGATAAATGATTTCAGGGGGCGAGGGGCAGTGGGGGGGCTATGATAAACACTGTAAGAAGTTTGGTGGCATCCCCAGCCTTTAGATACCAGTAGCACCCCCTACTCCTAATCAAGATAGTCAAAATCTCTCCAGACATTGCCAAATGTCCACGGTACGCCAAATCCCCATTGGATACCCACTGCTGTGGAACAGTACTACTCAAAGGGTAGTCTGCAGACCAGTGTGAGTCTGCAAACTATGTTATCTGCAAAGAGATGACTACAGAAATTGAGAGTGTTTAGAAACTTAACAGTTTGACATTGTTGCAACATCCAAGCACTTAGAGACCAGTTCTAGGTGTCTCTGAACTGGAATGCTTTGCAGATGAAGGGAACTGGTTATTAGTCATGCACAGTAGGGCTATGTAGTGGTCTGGGACAGACTAGAAATTATAAAAACTACTCCTTTGCCATAGATAGTTTGAGAAATGCTGTCCTAGACAGTTCCGTACAGTTGGTATTTATTTATTTTTTTGAGATGGAGTTTTGCTCTTGTTGCCAAGGCTGGAGTGCAGTGGTGCGGTCTCAGCTCACTGCAGCCTCCGCCTCCTGGGTTCGAGCAATTATCCTGCCTCAGCCTCTTGAGTAGCTGGGACCACAGGCGTGTGCCACCACGCCCAGGTAATTTTTGTATTTTTAGTAGAGATGGGGTTTCACCATGTTGGCCAGGATGGTCTCGATCTCTTGACCTCATGAACTGCCCACTGTGGCCTCCCAAAGTGCTGGGATTACAGGTGTGAGCCACCACGCCCGCCCTAAAACATTCTTTTAAGGTTCTGCCTGGGCCTGCAATTCAGGCAACTGTCACTGCATGCAAAGTGTAGGGAGAAGTGAAAAGATGACGACTGGGAGAATTGATCAGGCCCCAAATGCATGGCCATTGTGTACCTAACAACTCATGGTTTTAAGCTCCTTTTTAAACTTTATTTTTATTATTATTTTTTATATGGAGTCTCACTCTGTTGCCCAATCTGGAGTGCAATGGCATGATCTTGGTTCACTGCAACCTCCACCGCCCAGGTTCAAGTGATTCTCTTGCCTAAGCCTCCCAAGTAGCTGGGATTACAGGCACCCACCACCGTGCCCGGCTAATGTTTGTAATTTTAGTACAGAGGGGGTTTCTCCATGTTGGCCAGGCTTGTCTCGAAGTCTTGATCTCAAGTGATCTGCCCATCTCGGCCTCCCAAAGTGCTGGCATTACAGGTGTGAGCCGCTGCGCCTGGCCTTTTTTATTTTTTAAAGGTAGATTTCCATTCCCCAATTCCAATCTTCTGCATTCCTGCTTTGGGAGTTTTAAGTTTTTTATTTTTTATTTTTTTGAGATGGAGTCTCGCTCTGTTGCCAGGCCAGTGCAGTGGCGCGATCTTGGCTCACTGCAACCCCCGACTCCCTGGTTCAGGTGATTCTCCTGCCTCAGCCTCCCGAGTAGCTGGGATTACAGGTGCCCGCCACCATGCCCAGCTAATTTTTGTATATTTAGTAGAGACGGGGTTTCACCACGTTAGCCAGAGTGGTCTCGATCTCCTGATCTTGTGATCCGCCCGCCTTGGCCTCTCACTGGGATTACAGGCTTGAGCCGCTGCGCACAGCCGAGAGTTTTAAATTTTTTTTGGAGTTCTTCCAAAATGCGAGATGCAAGAAAATGTTCTTAAATGGAATAAGACAACTTTAAGTCCAATTGTAGTCCAAACCATAGAAACTCAGAATTCAGGACTTTTGAAAATTAGGGCAGGTATTCAGTTAACAAGGGCTATTTTAAGACATGACATTTAGTTCACGTAGGTTGGAGATTTTGTTTGACAAAGATCTTAAAATTACTTCTGGCCTTTGGAGTTATGACATGCTGTCTTTGTCACCTTCTCCTTCCTTCTTCCCCCTCACTCACCAAAAAAAGATGAATTTTCTTTTCTTTTCTTTTTTTTTATTTTGAGACGGAGTTTCGCTCTTGTTGCCCAGGCTGGAGTGCAGTGGCGTGATCTTGGCTCACCGCAACCTCCGCCTCCCGGGTTCAAGAAATTCTCCTGCCTCAGCCTCCCAAGTAGCTGGGATTACAGGCATGCACCATCACGCCCAGCTAATTTTGTATTTTCAATAGAGACAGGGTTTCTCCATGTTGGTCAGGCTGGTCTCGAACTCCCGACTTCAGGTGATCTGCTTGCCTTGGCCTCCCAAAGTGCTGGGATTACAGGCGTGAGCCACTGCACCTGGCCTGATTTTTCTGTATAGTCGGTTTTAAAATAATAACCGGTTTAAGCGTGGAGGGTGTGTGTGGGGTGGGGGGGTCACAGATACTACAAAGTTACTGATTTAAATAAAACTATGGTCAAATCTTGGTTTTTCTTTTGTTTTGTTTTCTTTTTTTTGACAGAGTCCCTGTCGCCCAGGCTGGAGTGCAATGGTGCGATCTCGGCTCGCTGCAACCTCCGCGTCTGGGGTTCAAGCGATTCTCCTGCCTCAGCCCCCTGAGTAGCTGGGATTACAGGTGCCCGCCACCATGTCCGGCTAATTTTTGTATTTTTAGTAGAGATGGGGTTTCACCATGTTGGCCAGGCTGGTCTCAAACTCCTGACCTCGTGATCTGCCTGCCTTGGCCTCCCAAAGTGCTGGGATTATAGGCATGAGCCCCCTTGCCTGGCTAAATCTTGGTTTTTCAAAGGAACAGTAATGAGACTGAAGAACAACCATGGTTAGGCCCTAGCTGGAACCTGGGATGGGCCCACATCCCTACAGACACACATCAGTGTACATTTGCTTGTTTTGAATGCTTCCCAAGATCGCTGAGATAGTTACAGAAACAAGATTGCGTATCACTGCTGCTGTTGAAGAAACCTCTGACAGGTTGCTGGTTACGCTAGTTTTTTTTTTTCTTTATTTTTTTTTTTTTGTTATGTAGTAGTTTAAAGCCCAGGTCCTTATCCTGTATCACCAGGGCTCAACTTGAGTAATCAGTTGTAGTTCCCATTTCTCACCTGAGCACCTTGAAAATTTCAGATGTGAAATTTAGTCTTAAAAACGTAACATTTTTTTTTTTGTTTTTGTTTTTTTTTGAGACAGAGTCTCCCTCTATTGCCCAGGCTGGAGTGCAGTGGTATAAGCTTGGCTCACTGCAACCTCTGCCTCCTGGGTTCAAGCAATTCTCCTGCCTCAGCCTCCTGAGTAGTTGGGACTACAGGCACACACCACCACACCTGGCTAATTTTTTTTGTATTTTTAGTAGAGACATGGTTTCACTATATTGGCCAGGCTGGTCTCGAACTCCTGACCTCGTGATCCGCCTGCCTCGGCCTCCCAAAGTGCTGGGATTACAGGCATGAGCCACCGCACCCAGCCAAACATAGCAGATTTGTGAGTTAGTTGCTTCTTTGCTCAAAAGGCCCTGTCAAGACTCATCTTGAGACTGAAATACTTTATTGAATCTCCAGGTTTTTATTAATGGCTTTAAAGGCATAGTTGGGCATCCTGCTCTCTTGCTCCCCTATAGTCAAACAATTCTCCACACAAAAGCCAGAGGAATCTTTTTTTTTTTTTCCGACTAAATCAGATGATGTCATTCCTTTGCCTACAGCCCCCTAGTGGCTTCTCTTTAAACTTAAAATCCGTGTTTTCTTCATGGTCTCCAAGGCCTTGCACAGACCAGCCCCAGCCTTCCTTTCTGGCCTGATTTCCTGCCTCTCTTCCTGCACTCCTTGCCTGGTTGCCTCCCTTCTGTTCACTGAGTGTATTGGGCTTATACTGGCCTCAAGGCCCTTCCTTAGCTGATCTGTGGGCCTGCAGCATGCTCCCTGCAGAGCCTCACTCGTAAGGTCTCAGTTTTTTGTTGTTGTTTTTTTTTTTGAGGTGGAGTTTCATTCTGTCGCTTAGTGGCGCAATCTCGGCTCACTGTAACCTCCGCCTCTCGGGTTCAAGCGATTCTCCTGCCTCAGCCTCCTGAGTAGCTGAGTAGCTCAGGAGTAGCCTCCTGAGTAGCTGGCGGATGCCACCACACCTGGCCAATTTTTGTATTTTTAGTAGAGACGGGGTTTCACCATGTTGGCCAGGCTAGTCTCGAACTCCTGACCTCAAGTGATCCACCCACCTAGGCCTCCCAAAGTGCTGAGATTACAGACACGAGCCACCACACTCGGCCTGTCTTAGTTTGTGAGTCTCCTCCTCGGATGCTTCCTGACTGTCCCCCCTTCTTGCTGCCCACCCTGTCTCCATCCCTAGCATGTTACTGTTTTTTTTTTTCACGGTATATCAAGCTATGTGAAATGCTCTCATCTGTTTGTTTCTCCCCCAACTATATTTAGAGACAACTGGAGAGAGGATCTGTTTACAGCTGTTTGCACAGCACTTGACATAGTGCCTGGCAGCAAGTGGCATTTGATAAATCATTGGCAGTGAGTGGATGAATTGCCTAACCTGGAGCTGCCATTAGGAAGTAACCTGTTTTCCCTTTGCAGTGTTGATGGGAACCATTTTCAGCATCCTGCTGGTGACTGTCATCCTTATGGCATTTTGTGTCTACAAGCCCATTCGGCGTCGGTGACAGCCAGACAAGTTCTTCAATGAGTATTTGGGAATAGGATAAGTTGTGTTGCACACAGGCCAGTGGAGAAGTTGGAACCAAAACTTTCCTACTTGGAAATGACCTTTGGTCTGGACAGTTGGTAAATGCTAAATGAATTAGAAGAAAACATGTACTAGACATTATTTTTTCCTAACACTGTAGCGCAAATAATTGGCCCCTGAGTCCGCTTCTCAGTGTTTCTGACTGTACTTGTTAAAAGTAAGACCTGAAAGCTCCAAAGGTCAGTGTAAAGATGGAGTGTTCATGAGAAAGAAAACATGGTAACCTTGTGAGTGCCTGTAAGAACCACACTGTAAAGAACTCATCATTAATGCTTGAAAATGTTATTAAGAAGGAGACTTACCATGCAGACATTCCCTATTTAAGAACCATTTGGTTACAGTGGGTTAAGAATCACAGATTTTTTTTTTTAATCTCACCTGAGTTAGCCTAGAATGCGCTGGTTGCAAAGTGGTGTCAGCTGTGGGGATCTTGGGCCCTCGTTCCTCACCTGCATCCTGCCCTGCACTCAGGTGCTCCCCCTGAAGTCAGGGTCACATCAGGTAGACCTGTTACTATATGCACCTTTGGCCTGGAATGCTCTGAAGTTGGACTGGAAATGTTACTAGGTTGGCCTGTTACAAAAAGGACCCCATCCTGCTTAAACACATTGATCTCCCTTGCCCTGCATTTGAGTCTTTCTAGCCCACGGTCTGAAACTTGAGGCAGCTTTCCAGATTTGGAATGTAAAAGGCTCAGTGGGCACTCTGTTCATCCCTGGGTGGGGAGGGCCCAGCCAACAGAAGTGCATGTCCACTGTGCGGGCCAGTGTGTGTTTACACAAATTTCATCTCAGCTTTGAAAATGCTGCTATTAGTTTCCACTGTTGGTGAACTGGATTTTTTCCTCCTATTGAAATGATACTTTCATACTTATAAAGCTGTCGTCAATATTTATTTCAAGGTGCTAGATTTAATTTTGTTATTAAATTGAAATGCTTATCTTGTGTTCAAGCACAGCACTGATTTTAACAACCTGCATTTAATGTGAAGTAACCGAAGTAGGATACTGTAACTGTGTAAGGATTTTGTTTGTAATCTTGTAACATTGAACCATTGAAATGTTCAGTTCTTTGCTTTTGAGCAAAACGTCAATTAAAACTAAAGTAAAATCCTATATATTGTTTTACTCCACCAGTTATTTCCCAAGTGTTTGAAATGCAGGTGTGTGTCTGAATTTGATCTAATCACTTAAAGAAGCTCTGTGAAGTGAAATTTCTTTTTTTGAGACGGAGTTTGGTTCCTGTTGCCCAGGCTAGAGTGCAATGGTGCATTGTTGGCTCACTGCAACCTCCACCTCCCGGGTTCAAGCGATTCTCCTGCCTCAGCCTCCAGAGTAGCCAGGATTACAGGCATGAGCCACCATGCCTGGCTAATTTTTTTGTATTTTTAGTAGAGATGGGGTTTCACCATGTTGGCCAGGCTGGTCTCAAACTCCTGACCTCAGGTGATCCACCTGCCTTGGCCTCCCAAAGTGCTGGGATTACAGGCGTGAGCCACTGCGCCTGGCCTAAAGTTGAGATAAAAGTCTCCTAGTGCTGCCTATGATTTAGTGACTGTGGAGTCATATCAGCATGTTGTATTTTTTTCCACCTGGACCTCAGGCTTAAACCTACACATATTTCTAAACAGAGGCCTAGGTGGTACTTTGAACTTCATCACTCACTGTACCACTGAATCACTTGAAATCTCCACATCCAGTTCATCTTCCTTGATGTCATTTGTGGTCAGCAGGAGACTGCGACCAAGCTGGCAGTTATGGCAGTTTCCCTTTCCTGTCATTATTTAGAGCAGACTTTCAATCCCTTGACATGCCACGTTTATGTAGTGTGACAAGCTTGTTTATAGAGCAGAGTGCCTTAGGAACTTAGTTCCTAGCAGTGTCTAACGTGCAGAAGTTGCTCAATTAAAGTTTCTGGCCGAGTGCGGTGGCTCATGCCTGTAGTCTCAGCACTTTGGGAGGCCGAGGCGGGTGGATCACCTGAGGTCAGGAGTTCGAGACCAGCCTGGCCAACATGGTGAAACCCCGTCTCTACTAAAAATACAAAAATAAGCCAGGCATGGTGGCACACGCCTGTAATCCCAGCTACTCGGGAGGCTGAGGCAGGAGAATCGTTTGAACCCGGGAGGCAGAGGTTGCAGTGAGCCAAGATCGCGCCATTGCACTCCAGCCTGGGCAACAAGAGCAAAACTCCGTCTCAGGAAAACAAACAAACAAAAAAAAAAAACCACTTCCTGCTGATATTGGGCCACTCAAGCTTAGCTTTTCAGTTTTTAAATAATCCATAGTCATTGCACCTCTTGACCTGAAAGAGTAATGGTTTTCTTCATAGTGTCCTTGTGGCTTCAAAGTATTGATATCTACTTTCCCCTAAAAGCAAAGCAGCTCCTTTACATCTTCCCAGAAATACAGCCTCATTTCTGGAACCCATACATTTCTACTGGCCACTGCCTTTGTTGTTTTTAATACCCGCTTATTTAGATATAGGAAGAGTTTGGAAGCCTTATCATCTGGACTTCTAGGAACAGCCTCACAAAGCAGTTGGCTTCAAGGGATAGCATTGATGCAGAGCTTTGATGTTGGCTGGGCTTCCCTTACCCCACAAGAGCCAGTTCCCCTCCAGGAGGACCACAGAGGTGTCAGAACAGCCCAACACTGGCTTGCTTTTAGTTGCCATTTGAAACAAGCAGCATGGGGCTTGTTAACCTGGGCAGGAAGGCTGGGAGGAGCATGCCACCTTTGCAGTGATGAACTGAGCGAAGTGAGGCATTCTAATGTTCTACTGACATACGTAACAGGAAGTGTGGGTACATCCAGTGACTAGAAAAAACTGAAAAGGAAAAAGACTCAAAGACTGGAATTTTGTATGAGCACCCTCTAAGGAAGCAGTCTTTATTTGCATTTTTAGAGTGAACACATATATGAAAAACACTGCAACAGGTTGACACAATGCTCAGTCCCTTTTTAAGTGAATTCCTGGGGAGAAAGTCAAGGACCTTAGGGAGCAGAGCAGTGGAATGCAAACACAGAAATTACCTATGAGTCACTTTTGTGAGCCAATGACACGGCCTCACTGCAGCCATTCCAAGAAGTATCTTTGCTCACGGTAAATGCAAAGTAAACAAAATACCACACTGCATATTTGAAACAAACAAATGTGACGTTGCCTATACTGGCCTCATGTGCAGAAGGAATTTTGGTCAGACAATGACAAAAAAAAAAAACAAAACAGATTGTGAAATGGAATTAAAAGCACAATTCTTTGTATCTGGGAACGTTTCACTGGCAACACTAACTGTATGATACAGACGTTACCTGGAACAGTAGTTATGTTTCTCTTCCTATCCCCAAAGAAGCACAATAGAAGAAATAGACGCAAAATGGAGGAGGGTGTTGTTTACCAGGTTATTTCAGTGCAGCCTGTGGGAATGAATACACGGGCCACAGTGAGCAGTGCCCTTGGCTGTATTCCCCAGGGTTCTGTATGTTGTGCGATGGTTATATACAAGAGGGTTTGACAAAAGAGAGTTAACTACTAAAGGTATCCAAAAAAGGCCTGAGAAAATCTGGTTAAAATGTATAACCTTGTATTGCTACTGATGGGAGTTGTTTTTATATCTTTTACAAATAATAAAAAGATTGTTAAAAAATAGATTTATCCAGAAAGATGTTGATTTGAACTCTAAAAAGCAACGTGGAATCATTATTTTCCCTTTTGAATGAAGAGCCATGGAGCTCCGTGGTTTTCAGCTCCCTTTCTGGTTGCAAATCAATCCTTCCTCTGGAGTGAGTCTAGGGCATGCGGGCTCTTCCTAGGTGTCTACGTGGAAATCCTTCACTCATGCAGGTGTAGAACACACCTGGTTTGGTTCTGTGTGTTCCAATATTTTGGCCAGCTTGCCCACTTCAAGAACAAGCCTCAGGTTCCCCTAGCTGCTCCTTCAGGGACAGGATTAGCTGCCTTTGATTTAGCCTGGAGAATCCTGCTCTCAAAAGAATTGCCTTTACAAATTCAAATCAGATCCTTCGATGCGTGCAGTGAGGTGATGTGAAACTATTAGTAATGTTTAAGGCTAAGGCAACATCCATGGCCATTTGTGTATCTTAATTTGATGCAAATAGTTAACAATAATCTAAAATAGATTCTATATGTATCTCCTCTAACTTTAGCTGGGTGTGGAAGGAATGGAATCAGATAGATGGAGGAAGAATAATGACAATGTCCTAGAAACCCTGTAAAAAGGTAAAAATAAGGAGATCAGCACAGATTACCCATTTCTTTGGTGAACAGTAAAGAAGTGTCTCCAATTCTCATAGATCACACTTTACAAAGGCGGCTGCTGCTCTTATATATAAAAGCACCCTGACTCTGCAATAACTTGTCTTGTTATCACTCCTTGATAAAAATTTATCTACAAACCTGCGGGGATTGGGGTTTTGTCTAAAGCTGGTAGTAAAAATGTGACCTGCAAGCCAATACAGCTAATGGAAAGTGATGATGCTCTCCTCCCCTTAGCCTGGAGATGGGGCCTGCAATCCCTGGTCCCTTCTCCACCCCAGGGAGCAGCCTGGATGGGCCCAGGAGTCCCTGGTTCTGCACCTCTGCATAAAGAAGGGGCAGTTGTTGCCTGCTGCATGCACGCAAGGTGCAGGCCCTTAGCCCTAGGGCCCTGGTTGACACAGCATCTGTGACAGCCCACAGCCTCTGCTTTGTGCAGAGGCTCACAGGCTGAAAGGTCTATTTGTCAGTGAGTGACAGCTGTAAGACTTGCTGGAGCTCAGCCTCTTCCTCCTGGAGCCGGAGCTCCCATTCCTCCAGCTCTTTGGCAGAGAGCTCCATGGCTAGCTGCAAGTCATTATCAAAACGGCTTGTCTCGCTCAGGGCGCTGGGGCACAGGCCTTCTGTGCTGGTGAGGAGGCTCTCCTGGATGGCCCTGGGTTGGAAAACAGATAAAAAGGGAGAGTCACTACTATCATCATCATGGTGGCAGCAGTAACTACATTTCTTAACCGCTTACCAAGGGCACACTGTGCCAGGCATTTAATATGCATGATGCCAATTAATCCCACATAACTGGCGGTGTAGGTGTTGTATACGGGTGAGAAACCCCACAATCTTGCCCAAGACCACCCAACCAGTAAGTGATAGGGCTGGGAATTGAACTTGGATCTGTTTTAAAGCAAAACTCAGGTTCTTCATCAACAGGCTCTCATAGACACCTTAAGTATAAGTCTTCGTAAAATGAATCCTCGCGGTTTTTCCCGTAATCTCTGGAGCTGTTCCTCCAAACTTCCTTATCTTTACAATTATATAAACTTCCCACTGAGGACATCTAGGCCCTGTGATCATACATCATTCATAGAAGATCAAACCAATCAGAAAAAACTGACTCAGTACGTTTCCCCCAATGGCACTGACCTGTGAACCAGTCAGCAATTCTATCACCCATTCCTGGAAACTTGCTATCAAGAGTCTAGAGTTATTATAAGTAACTGCCACAAGAGGAAGCAAGAGAGCCAACACTTTAGTCTTTTTTTTTTTTGAGACGGAGTCTCGCTCTATCGCCCAGGCTGGAGTGCAGTGGCGCGATCTCGGCTCACTGCAAGCTCCGCCTCCTGGGTTTGCCATTCTCCTGCCTCAGCCTCCCGAGTAGCTGAGACTACAGGTGCCTGGCACCATGCCCGGCTAATTTTTTGTATTTTTTTTAGGAGAGACAGGGTTTCACCGTGTTAGCCAGGATGGTCTCAATCTTCTGACCTCGTGATCCGCCTGCCTCGGCCTCCCAAAATGCTGGGATTATAGGCGTGAGCCACCGCTCCTGGCCTACTTTTTCTAGTCTTTCCTGCCAGTTTGTGGCACCGTACATCTGCCTGAGGACCAAATGCACAGTGCCACGCGTCTGCTCGCCTGTGTCCAGGCCTGTGTTCACCCTGGTTTATTCCAGAGTCACGTCAGTCAATCACCTCTCATACTGGGCGTCATAGGTGTTTGTCTGGCTGATCCCTCCATTCGAAGCTGGTCCTGAAAGTTCCTGGCAAAGACAAATGTGATAGACATGAATACGTCTTAGGAGAAATTGGTGCCATTCTGGTAAGGAAACGATGGCAGCAAGAACCAAATTAAAAGTCTTTCCATGACCATTATCAATAGTGCTGTGTGAAAAGCTAACAGGGACTTGGGTTACCTCAAAAACAACACCTAAGTGGGAGGTAGTAACATGCCACAGCCTAACTCACAGCCACAACCTTCTCATCCTTTGTACAAAATCAGTCTCTTAAATACAGCTAACCCACGTGGAAGATATACACAACGAAAAGCAAAAACACAGCTGACCTTGGGCAAAGTTCAAGTGACCAAAGCAGGTTTTTGTTTTTTTAGAGACAGGGTCGCACTCTGTTGTCCAGGC